>NT_167249.2:1541944-1728419 GCF_000001405.40 Homo sapiens
GGGCGACAGAGCCAGACTCCATCTCAAAAAAAAAAGAAAGAAACTGCAGGTTGGGAGTAGTGGCTCATGCCTATAATCCCAGCACTGTGGGAGGCTGAGGCAGGCAGATAACGAGGTCAGGAGTTCGAGACCATCCTGGCCAACATAGTGAAATCCCATCTCTACTAAAAATACAAAAATTAGCCGGACATGGTGGCAGGTGCCTGTAATCTCAGCTACTCTGGAGGCTGAGTCAGGAGAATCACTTGAACCCGGGAGACAGAGGTTGCAGTGAGCCAAGATCACACCACTGCACTCCAGCCTGGGTGACAGAGTGAGACTCCATCTCAAATGAAAAAAAAATAAAAATAAATAAAAAAATAAAAAAAAAAAACAAGAAAAGAAAAGAAAAAAAGAAACTGCAGCAGAGGGAGGACAGGTCCGGGTCCATCAGAATAATTCTCTGTTCAGTCCTGGTGTATACCCATTTCTCAATGATCCCACAGTAGAGAATGATGATGGCTCCTGAGAACTATTTTTATGACAGTGTCTGTGTTCTGTTTTTTTCCAGGACCCAAGTGACATAATATGCAGGTAAGTGCTGCTTGCTTTTTTTCTTTTAAATTTTAACCACTTATGTCTCCTTATTGTTTTCTCTGTCTATCATCTTACTGAAATTTGACAAGTGCTGGAAAGGGATTGTTTAGAAGGGAGAGAGGTTATTCTGGTTAGTGTATGTTGAAAGGTATTCTATGGAATAGAGGAGGGAGTTCTAGAAAAAAATATTGTCATGGAACTTACGATGGTAATGGGCTGAGAAAAATAAAATGAGAGGAGATTATAGAAAAGTATTGGAGAAAATTTAGAATCCATGTTCATTTCTAAAACTAGTTTCCTTTCATTCTTCCCCTTCCTACATGGTTCCCAGCCTCCACTCCTGGCCACAGTTTCTCCCATATTCTGTAGAGCACATTTCATTATCAGATTGTCCTCTGCCTGATAGTGAGGTTTCCTGCATTCTGGTTGTCCATAGAAAGCAAACACTTCTATGGCTCACAGGGATAATGATTTCTTCCTCATGTCTTTCATTTGAGTTCTAGACTGTCCTCCGCAGGACATTCCTCAGCAGTGGGTCTGAGGAATATGTTAAACATTTAACATTGACAGTTTTCAAAATCATACCCACATGATACAGAGAAGCTTTGAACAGAGAATAAAGTCAGGCATTTTGATAATACACAACTTATCTGCAGAGACACCCAGGACTACTGGCATATACTGAGCATTTCCTGTGGGCAAAACACTGGGTAGAAAGGCGTGTGATGAGATAGGTTACCAGATTATGGCTGGGGATACCAGATAGACACATATGAGAGATGAATAATGATATAAAAAATGAGGTTGACACAGAATGGGTAATACTTCTTGCCTTGAAGTGTTTTGTCCGCTTTAGCAAAATTATTCCAGCTTTATATTGATTAGTGTTCACATGGCATTTCTTTTTCTGTCCTTTAATTCTCAAACTTTCTGTGTTTTTTAAAAATGTCTCTTATAAGCAACATAAATTTTGTTCTGTTTTTTAATAAATCCATTCTGACAATATGCAATGGAATATTTAGTATTTATCCATGGAAAATTACTATTTCATTCACATTTTCAAAATAATTTGCATAGTTGATCAAGATAATGTGCTTAGATTTACTAATTTTTCTTTTTATATCTGAATGTTTTCATTTCTTATTTTGTGTATTTCTACCTTTTTCTTTTTCTTTTGAGCTGGAGTCTCGCACTGTTGCCCTGGCTAGAGTGCAATGGTACAATCTTGGCTCACTGCAACCTCCGCCTCCTGGGTTCAAGAGATTCTCCTGCCTCAGCCTCCCAAGTAGCTGGGATTACAGGTGCCCGCCGCCATGCCCAGCTAATTATTTTTTGTATTTTTAGTAGAAATGGGGTTTCACTATGTTGGCCAGGCTGGTCTCGAACTCCTGACCTTGTGATCTGCTCGCCTCAGCCTCCCAAAGTGCTGGGATTACAGGCATGAGCCACCACGCCCGCCCCCCTCTTTCTTTTCTTTTCTTTTCTTTTCTTTTCTTTTCTTTTTTTTTTTTTAAGAGACAAGGGTCTCCTTATGTTGCCCAGGCCGGACTCCTGGGCTCCTGGGCTCAAGCGATCCTCTCACTTCAGACTCCCAAGTACCTGGGAATACAGGCACATACTGCCACACTCAGCTGTGTAGTTCTATTTTATCTCTTCTATTTGCCTGTCCCTTTTTTCCCTCCTACTTTTATGGATTGTTGAGCCCTGCTTTTACAAAGTACCATAATTTCTAGCATATGGTATTTTTATTACTGTTTTCTAGATATTTTGAAATTTTGAATTTGATTTTCTATTTAACATAAGATTTGTTTAAGAAAGAAGCTATTTGTCAGTGATATGCTGAGTTTTTTTCTAATAGGTCTTTTTGTTTCATAGTTTTCAAGTCTTGTGATAAGAAAAGTTTGCTATGTCTACTTTTTGGACTTTTTTTGAGGCTTTCTAGGTTATATGTTGTAAATTTTTGGACAGTTTCAGACACTTGAAAAGAAGGTGCACTTTTTCTTGGAATAGAATAGGATTTTGTATATCTCTGTAAGGTTGGCCTTAGTAATTCTGTTATCTAGGTATTTTGTACTAATACTTATTTTCTGACTTCTTGATATGTCATGGACTAAAAGAGGTCAGTCACAGATTCCTACTAACAGTGAGTTTTTGCCTATTTTTTCTTTTTTTTCTGAGATGGAGTCTTGCTCTGTTGTCCAGGCTGGAGTGCAGCGGCACGATCTTGGCTCACTGCAACATCCACCTCCCGGGTTCAAGTGATTCTCCTGCCTCAGCCTCCCAAGTAGCTGGGATTATAGGTGTGCACCACCACACCCAGCTAATTTCTGTATTTTTAGTAGAGACAGGGTTTCACCATGTTGGCCAGGCTGGTCTCGAACTCCTGACGTGATCTGCCCGCCTCAGCCTCCCAAAGTGCTGGGATTACAGGCGTGAGCCACCGTGCCCAGCCTATTTTTTCTTATATTGATATAGTTTTTGCTTTTTACATTTTGATGTTCTTTTTCTACATGACTTTTAAGGAAAGTTGTATCTTAATTGTGAATTATAATCTTGTTTTAAAAAACAGAGACAGAGTTTTAAAAAACCGAGACTCGCTCAGTCACCCAGACTAGATGCAATGGTGCAATCATAGTTCACTATAACCTTGAACTCTTGGGCTCAAGCTACCTCTCCGCCTCAGCCTCCCAAGTAGCTGGGACTACAGGTGCATGTCATCACACCTGGCTAATATTAAAATAATTGTTTTAGAGGGGTTCTCACTGTTACTCAGTCTGATCTTGAACTCCTGGCCTCAAGTGATTCTCCTGCCTTGGACTCCCAAAGTACTGGGATTATAGGCATAAGCCATAGCACTTCGCCTATAATCTTTAAGTAACAAAAAATGTTGTTGTCTTATTTAATATTTTTCTCTCCCAAATTCAATTCTGTCCGATAGTAAGATCAAGATATCAGAATTCTTTCATTTTGGATTTAGTTAATACACCTTTGCCTACCATTATCTTAATTTTAAATTTAAAAAAAATGTAAAGCTTTATCTTAATTTTCTTTTTTTAATTTAATTTTTAAAATATATTTTAAGGTATACAACATGATGCTGTGAGTAAAATGGTTATTACAGTGAAGCAAATTAACACCTCCATCACCTCACATAGTTACCTGCTTCCCTTCCCACTCCCAACCCCTCATTGCAAGAGCAGTTATAATTTACTCATTTAGCAAAAATCCTGAATACAATACACCATTTTTATTATTTTTTTAATTTATTTTTTTGAGACAAGGTCTCACTCTGTCACCCAGGCTGGAGTGTAGTGGCGCGATCTTGGCTCACTGCAACCTCCACCTCCCAGGCTCAAGAGATCCTCTCACCTGAGCCTTGCGAGTAGCTGGGACTACAGGCACGGGCACCACATTTGGCTAATTTTTGTAGAGACAGGGTTTCACCATGCTGCTCAGGCTGGTCTCGAACTCCTTGGCCTTAAGTGATCTGCCCACCTCGGCCTCCCAAAGTGCTGGGATAACAGGCGTGAGCCGTCATGCCTGGCCTACAATGCCCTGATATTAGCTATAGTTGGCAGGTTGGGCATTAGATCTCCAGACCTGTTCATCCTACATATTTCCTACTTTGTATCCCTTGAGGTACATCTCCCCATTTCTTCCACCCACCCTACCTCTGGTAATCACTATTTTATTCTCTATTTCTGTATATTTGACTTTTTAAAAAATTCTACATATATGTAAAATAATGCAATAGTTTTCATTTTGTATCTGGCAAGTTTTATCTTAATTTTCATTTAATCTGATATATATCCCCAAATAATTCCTTTAGAGGTTGTAACAGCGAGGAAGGAGCCAAGATGGCCGAATAGGAACAGCTCCGGTCTACAGCTCCCAGCGTGAGCAATGCAGAAGATGGGTGATTTCTGCATTTCCGTCTGAGCTTTGAAGAGAGCAGTGGTTCTCCCAGCACGCAGCTGGAGATCTGAGAACGGGCAGACTGCCTCCTCAAGTGGGTCCCTGACCCCTGACCCCCAAGCAGCCTAACTGGGAGGCACTACCCAGCAGGGGCAGACTGAAACCTCACACGGCCGGGTACTCCAACAGACCTGCAGCTGAGGGTCCTGTCTGTTAGAAGGAAAACTAACAAACAGAAAGGACATCCACACCAAAAACCCATCTGTACATCACCATCATCAAAGACCAAAAGTAGATAAAACCACAAAGATGGGGAAAAAACAGAGCAGAAAAACTGGAAAATCTAAAAAGCAGAGCGCCTCTCCTCCTCCAAAGGAATGCAGTTCCTCACCAGCAACGGAACAAACCTGGACGGAGAATGACTTTGACGAGCTGAGAGAAGAAGGCTTCAGACGATCAAATTACTCCGAACTATGGGAGGACATTCAAACGAAAGGCAAAGAAGTTGAAAACTTCGAAAAAAATTTAGAAGAATGCATAACTAGAATAACCAATACAGAGAAGTGCTTAAAGGAGCTGATGGAGCTGAAAACCAAGGCTCGAGAACTACGTGAAGAATGCAGAAGCCTCAGGAGCCGATGCGATCAACTGGAAGAAAGGGTATCAGCGATGGAAGATGAAATGAATGAAATGAAGCGAGAAGGGAAGTTTAGAGAAAAAAGAATAAAAAGAAACGAGCAAAGCCTCCAAGAAATATGGGACTATGTGAAAAGACCAAATCTACGTCTGATTGGTGTACCTGAAAGTGACGGGGAGAATGGAAATAAGCTGGAAAACACTCTGCAGGATATTATCCAGGAGAACTTCCCCAGTCTAGCAAGGCAGGCCAACATTCACATTGAGGAAATACAGAGAACGCCACAAAGATACTCCTCGAGAAGAGCAACTCGAAGACACATAATTGTCAGATTCACCAAAGCTGAAATGAAGGAAAAAATGTTAAGGGCAGCCAGAGAGAAAGGTCGGGTTACCCTCAAAGGGAAGCCGATCAGACTAACAGCGGATCTCTCGGCAGAAACTCTACAAGCCAGAAGAGGGTGGGGGCCAATATTCAACATTCTTAAAGAAAAGAATTTTCAACCCAGAATTTCATATCCAGCCAAACTAAGCTTCATAAGTGAAGGAGAAATAAAATCCTTTAGAGACAAGCAAACGCTGAGAGATTTTGTCACCACCAGGCCTGCCCTAAAAGAGCTCCTGAAGGAAGCACTAAATATGGAAAGGAACAACCAGTACCAGCCGCTGCAAAATCATGCCAAAATGTAAAGACCATCGAGACTAGGAAGAAACTGCATCAACTAACGAGCAAAATAACCAGCTAACATCATAATGACAGGATCAAATTCACACATAACAATATTAACTTTAAATGTAAATGGACTAAATGCTCCATTTAAAAGACACAGACTGGCAAATTGGATCAAGAGTCAAGACTCATCAGTATGCTGTATTCAGGAAACCCATCTCACGGGCAGAGACACACATAGGCTCAAAATAAAAGGATGGAGGAAGATCTACCAAGCCAATGGAAAACAAAAAAAGGCAGGGGTTGCAATCCTAGTCTCTGATAAAACAGACTTTAAACCAACAAAGATCAAAAGAGACAAAGAAGGCCATTACATAATGGTAAAGGGATCAATTCAATAAGAAGAGCTAACTATCCTAAATATATATGCACCCAATACAGGAGCACCCAGATTCATAAAGCAAGTCCTGAGTGACCTACAAAGAGACTTAGACTCCCACACATTAATAATGGGAGACTTTAACACCCCACTGTCAACATTAGACAGATCAACAAGACAGAAAGTCAACAAGGATACCCAGGAATTGAACTCAGCTCTGCACCAAGCGGACCTAATAGACATCTACAGAACTCTCCACCCCAAATCAACAGAATATACATTTTTTTCAGCACCACACCACACCTATTCCAAAATTGACCACATAGTTGGAAGTAAAGCTCTCCTCAGCAAATGTAAAAGAACAGAAATTATAACAAACTATCTCTCAGACCACAGTGCAATCAAACTAGAACTCAGGATTAAGAATCTCACTCAGAACCACTCAACTACATGGAAACTGAACAACCTGCTCCTGAATGACTACTTGGTACATAACGAAATGAAGGCAGAAATAAAGATGTTCTTTGAAACCAACAAGAACAAAGACACAACATACCAGAATCTCTGGGACACATTCAAAGCAGTGTGTAGAGGGAAATTTATAGCACTAAATGCCCACAAGAGAAAGCAGGAAAGATCCAAAATTGACACCCTAACATCACAATTAAAGGAACTAGAAAAGCAAGAGCAAACACATTCAAAAGCTAGCAGAAGGCAAGAAATAACTAAAATCAGAGCAGAACTGAAGGAAATAGAGACACAAAAAAACCCTTCAAAAAATTAATGAATCCAGGAGCTGGTTTTTTGAAAGGATCAACAAAATTGATAGACCGCTAGCAAGACTAATAAAGAAAAAAAGAGAGAAGAATCAAATAGATGCAATAAAAAATGATAAAGGGGATATCACCACCGATCCCACAGAAATACAAACTAGTATCAGAGAATACTACAAACACCTCTACGCAAATAAACTAGAAAATCTAGAAGAAATGGATAAATTCCTGGACACATACACTCTCCCAAGACTAAACCAGGAAGAAGTTGAATCTCTGAATAGACCAATAACAGGATCTGAAATTGTGGCAATAATCAATAGCTTACCAACCAAAAGAGTCCAGGACCAGATGGATTCACAGCCGAATTCTACCAGAGGTACAAGGAGGAACTGGTACCATTCCTTCTGAAACTATTCCAATCAATAGAAAAAGAGGGAATCCTCCCTAACTCATTTTATGAGGCCAGCATCATTCTGATACCAAAGCCTGGCAGAGACACAACCAAAAAAGAGAATTTTAGACCAATATCCCTGATGAACATCGACGCAAAAATCCTCAATAAAATACTGGCAAACCGAATCCAGCAGCACATCAAAAAGCTTATCCACCATGATCAGGTGGGCTTCATCCCTGGGATGCAAGGCTGGCTCAACATACGCGAATCAATAAACATAATCCAGCATATAAACAGAACCAAAGACAAAAACCACATGATTATCTCAATAGATGTAGAAAAGGCCTTTGACAAAATTCAACAGCCCTTCATGCTAAAAACTCTCAATAAATTAGGTATTGATGGGATGTATCTCAAAATAATAAGAGCTATTTATGACAAACCCGCAGCCAATATCATACTGAATGGGCAAAAACTGGAAGCATTCCCTTTGAAAACGGGCACAAGACAGGGATGCCCTCTCTCACCACTCCTATTCAACATAGTGTTGGAAGTTCTGGCCAGGGCAATCAGGCAGGAGAAGGAAATAAAGGGTATTCAATTAGGAAAAGAGGAAGTCAGATTGTCTCTGTTTGCAGATGGCATGATTGTATACCTAGAAAACCCCGTTGTCTCAGCCCAAAATCTCCTTAAGCTGCTAAGCAACTTCGGCAAAGTCTCAGGATACAAAATCAATGTGCAAAAATCACAAGCATTCTCATACACCAATAACAGACAGAGAGCCAAATCATGAGTGAACTCATTCACAATTGTTTCAAAGAGAAAAAAACACCTAGGAATCCAACTTACAAGGGATGTGAAGGACTTCTTCAAGGAGAACTACAAACCACTGCTCAACGAAATAAAAAAAGGATACAAACAAATGGAAGAACATTCCATGCTCATGGGTAGGAAGAATCAATATCGTGAAAATGGCCATACTGCCCAAGCTAATTTATAGATTCAATGCCATCCCCATCAAGCTACCAATGACTTTCTTCATAGAACTGGAAAAAACTACTTTAAAGTTCATATGGAACCAAAAAAGAGCCTGCATCGCCAAGTCAATCCTAAGCCAAAAGAACAAAGCTGGAGGCATCACGCTACCTGACTTCAAACTATGCTACAAGGCTACAGTAACCAAAACAGCATGGTACTGGTACCAAAACAGAGATATAGACCAATGGAACAGAATAGAGCCCTCAGAAATAATGCCACACATCTACAACCATCTGATCTTTGACAAACCTGACAAAAACAAGAAATGAGGAAAGGATTCCCTATTTAATAAATGGTGCTGGGAAAACTGGCTAGCCATATGTAGAAAGCTGAAACTGGATCCCTTCCTTACACCTTATACAAAAATTAATTCAAGACGGATTAAAGACTTAAATGTTAGACCTGAAACCATAAAAACCCTAGAAGAAAACCTAGGCAATACCATTCAGGACATAGGCATGGGCAAGGACTTCATGACTAAAACACCAAAAGCAATGGCAACAAAAGCCAAAATTGACAAATGGGATCTAATTAAACTGAAGAGCTTCTGCACGGCAAAAGAAACTACCATCAGAGTGAACAGGCAACCTACAGAATGGGAGAAAATTTTTTCAATCTACTCATCTGACAAAGGGCTAATATCCAGAATCTACAAGGAACTCAAATTTACAAGAAAAAACAAACAACCCCATCAACAAATGGGCAAAGATATGAACAGGCACTTCTCAAAAGAAGACATTTATGCAGCCAACAGACACATGAAAACATGCTCATCATCACTGGCCATCAGAGAAAAGGAAATCAAAACCACAATGAGATACCATCTCACACCAGTTAGAATCATGATCATTAAAAAGTCAGGAAACAACAGGTGCTGGAGAGGATGTGGAGAAATAGGAACACTTACACTGTTGGTGGGACTGTAAACTAGTTCAAACATTGTGGAAGACAGTGTGGCGATTCCTCAGGGATCTAGAACTAGGAATACCATATGACCCAGCCATCCCATTACTGGGTATATACCCAAAGGATTATAAGTCATGCTGCTATAAAGACACATGCACACGTATGTTTATTGTGGCGCTATTCACAATAGCAAAGACTTGGAACCAACCCAAATGTCCATCAATGATAGACTGGATCAAGAAAATGTGGCACATATACACCATGGAATACTACGCAGCCATAAAAAAGGATGAGTTCATGTCCTTTGTAGGGACACAGATGAAGCTGGAAACCATTATTCTCAGCAAACTATCCCAAGGACAAAAAACCAAACAACGCATGGTCTCACTCACAGGTGGGAATTGAACAATGAGAACACCTGGACACAGGAAGGGGAATATCACACACCGGGGCCTGTTGTGGGGTGGGGGGAGGGCGGAGGGATAGCACTAGGAGATATACCTCATGTAAATGACGAGTTAATGGTTGCAGCACACCAACATGGCACATGTATACATATGTAACAAACCTGCACATTGTGCACATGTACCCTAGAACTTAAAGTATAATAAAAATATATAGACATTAAAAAAAATAACTTAAAAAAAAGAAATCTGTAACAATAAGATGATCCTGTGGGACTGAATGCTTTTGTCATCCTTAAACTCATAATTGAAACCTAATCTCTAATGTGATGGTGTTTGGAGGTGGAGCCATTAGGAAGTGATCATGCAATGAAGGCAAAACCCTCATTAATGAAATGAATGCCCTTATAAAAGGGACCCCAGAGAGCTCCTTGCCCCTTCCACCATGTGAGGACACCAAGGAAAAGCAACATCCATGAATCAGGAAGCAGCCCTTACCATACACGGACTCTTCCCAGGCCTTGATCTTTGACTTTCCAGCCTCCAGAATTGTGAGAAATAGATTTCTGTTGTTTGCAAGCCACATAGTCTATGGTATTCTTTTATAACTGCCCAGATTGACTAAGACAGATGATGATGAAAATACTACCAAGTATTGGAAATTAACATCAAAATTCTAAATGACAATTTATTCAAAGAGGAAATCTAGAGAAATTAGAAAGTCTTCTGTATTCTGAAGAATAATGAAACATACATATCAAATGTATGGGATGCAGCTGAAGTAGTACTAGAGAAAAAACCAATACCCTTAAATGCCTATATTAAGAAAGAAGGTAGGTCTCAAATTAGTAAATTAGCTTCTGCTATAAGAAACAAAGAAAAACAAATTAAACCAAAGCATGGAGAAGGAAGAAAATAATAATTAAATGGAAAAAATGAAGCAGAAAGACAGAGAAAATTAATGAACCCAAATATTGGTTCTATGGGGAAAAATCAGTACACTTTATAAATTTCTAGCTAGACTGATCAAGACAAAAAGATGCACATTAACAATGTCAAGAAAAAACGAACATCAGTGCACACTCTCTAGATCTCAAAAAGAAATATTGATAATCTCATGTCAATAAGTTTGACAAGCAAATGAAATGAACAATTTCCTTGAGAGAGAAAACTTATGAAAACTGACCTGAGAAGAGATAGAAAATGTGGCCAGTCATATATTGATTGTAGAAATTGAATGTGTAATCAAAATCCTTCTCATATAGGAAACTCCAGGTCCAGAAGGCTTCATTGATGAAATGTATCTAACAAATAATTTAGAAATAACATCAATTTTACACATACCTTTTAGAAATTAAAGGAGGCAACAACTTTCAATTTAATCTATGCAGCCAGCTTTCACAGTCAGGCGTGAGTATCTGGCTTTTCCAGGTGCACAGTGCAAGCTGTTGGTCAATCTACCATTCTGAGATTTGGAGCACCGTGGCCCTCTTCTCACAGCTCCACTGGGCAGTGCCCTAATAGGAACTCTGTGTGGGGGCTCCAGCCCCCTATTTCCCCTCCACACTGCCCTAGCAGAGGTTCTCCGTGAGGGCCCTGCCCCTGCAGCAAACTTTTGCCTGGGCATCCTAGCATTTCCATACATCTTCTGAAATCTAGGTGGAGGTTCCCAAACCTCCATTCTTGACTTCTGTGCACCTGCAGGCTCAAAACCATGTGGAAGCTGTCAAGGCTTAAAGCTTGCACCCTCTGGAGCCATGGGCCAAGCTGTACCAAGCTTGGCCCCTTTTAGCAGCCGTGGGAGCAGTTGGGACCCAGGGCACCAAGTCCCTAAGCTGCACACAGCATGGGAACCCTGGGCCTGGACCAGGAGACCATTTTTTCCTCCTGTGCTTCTGGGTCTGTGATGGGAGGGGCTGCCATGAAGACCTATGGCATGCCCTGGAGACATTTTCCCCATTGTCTTGGGGGGATCAACGTTTGGCTCTTTGTTACTTACGCAAATTTCTGCAGCCAGCTTGAGTTTCTCCTCAAAAAAATTGGTTTTTCTTTCTATTGCATCGTCAGGCTGTAAATTTTCTGAACTTTTATCCTCTGTTTCCCTTTTAAAATGGAATGCTTTTAACAGCACCCAAGTCACATTTTAAATGCTTTGCTGCTTAGAAATTTTATCTGCCAGATACCCTAAATCATCTCTCTCAAGTTCAGAGTGCCACAGATCTCTAGGGCAGGGGCAAAATGCCACCAGTCTCTTTGCTAAAACGTAACAAGAGTCACCTTTGCTCCAGTTCCCAACAAGTTCCTCATCTCCATCTGAGACCACCTCAGCCTGGACCTTATTGTTCATATCACCATCAGCATTTTTGTCAAAGGCATTCAACAAGTCTTTAGGAGGTTCCAAACTTTCCCACATTTTTCTGTCTTGTTCTGAGCCCTCCAAACTGTTCCAACCTCTGCCTAATACCCAGTTCCAAAGTCAATTCCACATTTTCGGGTGTCTTTTCAGTAGCACCCACTCTACTGGTACTAATTTACTGTATTAGTGCGTTTTCACGCTGCTCATAAAGAAATACCCAAGACTGAGATGAAAAAGAGGTTTAACTGGACTTAGAATTCCACATGGTTGGGGAGGCCTCAGAATCATGGCGGGAGGTGAAAGGCACTTCTTACATGGCGGTAACAAGAGAAAATGAGGAAGATGCAAAAGCAGAAACCCCTGATAAAACCATCAGATCTCATGAGACTTATTCACTACCACGAGAACAGTATGGGGGAAACCAACCCCATGATTCAAATTATCTCCCACTGGGTCCCCTGGGTCCCTCCCACAACACATGGGAATTATGGGAGTACAATTCAAGATAATATTTGGGTGGGGACATAGAGCCAAACCATATCACCAGCATTACCCAAATAAAAATCCCAGACAAGAACATCACAAGAAAAAGAATCAAGAACAAATATTCCTCTTGAACACAGACTCACAATTCAATACAAAACGTTATCCAATTAAGATATACATAAAATGAATAATATGCCATGCCATATTGGTTTTTTTAAAGGGAAAGTAAGGTTGGTTTAACATCTGAAAATTAAACAATACAATTCACCCAATTAATAGAACAAAGAACAAATGTTGCACAATTATTATAGTCAATGCAGAAAAAGCACTTGCAAAATCAAGACCATTTCATGACAAAATAGCTCAGCAAACAAAATCGAAAGGAATATCTTCAATGTGGTTAAGGACACCCACGAAAAGTTTACAGCTACCCTCATATTCAATTATGAAAGGCCAGATGCTTACTTCCTAAGATTAGCAACAAAGCAAAGATGTGGCTCTCCTCATTTTTGTTTAAAACACCTTACGAGCATCCTAACTAGTGCAATATGGCAAGAAAATGAAATAAAAGACCAATAAAAGGGCCAAGTGTGGTGCCTCATGCCTGTAATCTCAGCACTTTGGGAGGCCAAGGTGGGAGGATCACTTTAGTTCAAGAGTTTGAGACTAGCTTGAGCAACATAGTTAGACCCCTGTCTTTACTAAATATAAATAATTTTTAAAAGAAAAAAAACAATAGATAGGAAAGGAAGAAATAAAATCTTTCTTTCTCAGCTTAATTACATATGTAGAAAACAATAAGGAATTCTGAAAAAGTCTCTGGAAGTAATAATTAAATTTGCAAAATTGTTCACAAAAGATATGTAATAAGTCTCTTAGACAAACATGACAAGATAGCAACAATACTAGTCATCAAAGAAGTGCAAGTTAAAACCACAATGAGAAACCATCACACATCACCTAGAATAAGTAAAGTTCAAAAGACATATGATAATTCTAAATACTGGTATGAATATGGAAAAAATAAAAATCTCTTATATTGTTGGTAGGAACGCAAAAAAAAGTTGCAGTCAGTTTGTAAAATAATATGGCAATTTCTTAAACAGCTACCCATCCATTTACCATATCACCCAACAATTCCACAAATATTTATTTATCCAAAGGAAATGAAAATTTAAGGCCATGCAAAGACTTGTAGTCAGTTATTTATAGTGGTTTCATTAATTACAGACCCTAACCGGAAATAACCCACGTTTATCAGCTGGAGAATAGAGAAACCAACGAATAAACTGGAATTCCAACAATACTCAGCAGCTACTCAGTGACAAAAATGAATGAAATATTATTACTCTTAACTACATGGAAAAATCTCAAATATTGTTATGACAAGTGAGAGACCAAAGGACTACATAACATATGATTGCATGTCCATGAAATTCTAGAAATTTCATTATTACAGTAACAGAAAGCACAGCAGTGGTTGAGTGAAGAGAAGGGGGTGAGGGTGGGAGGCAAGGATTAAATAGAAAAGGGGCATAAGGAAAGTTTTTAGGGAAAAGAAACTGTCCTCTATCTGGGCAATGTGGTAGTTACATGACTATAAATAATTACCAATATTCATAAAACATTGTAGCTAAAACTGGTGAGTTTTATTATACACAAACGCCCCAATTAGGAAAAAAAAAGGTGGGGGAAGAAGGCAAAAATGAAGACACTTTTACATAATCCAAATCAGAAAATTCATTTCCTAGGGATCTTGTACTACGTATAATTTTGAAGGAAGTTCTTCAGGCTGAAGGGAAATGATACTAGATGGTGACCTAGATATATAGAAAGGGATAATTAACAACAGAAATTATGCACATACACAGATCACATACACACTCATTTTCTTAATGACAATATGAATGCTTAAAACAAAAAGTATTACTGTATTATTGAGTTTATAAAGTATATTGATGTAATATATACAACAAGAATAGCACAATGGTAGGTTACATGAAACTACACTCTTACAAGTGTCCTTTATTTTGCTGGATGCAGCTTAATATTACCTGAACTTCACCATGAAAAGTCAAGGAATCGGGTTTCAATTCTTACAACAATAAAAAATTAGTGTAAAGAAATATACCTAAAAGCCACTAGAATTAAAACCATAAACTAAAAAATGTTTACTTAACACATAAGAAAGTAGGAAAGGAGGAATAGAAACAAAAAGATACGAGACAAATTGAAAACATACAGCAAAATGGTAGACCAAAACCCAACCATTGTAAGTGAAGAAATGACACGACCTGAGTCACATTAGCAGAACTGCTGAGCACTGTGGGGAGAACAGACATGGGCAGGAAGTGAGGGACAGTGTTAGTGCCACAATTCAGGGGTGAGAGGGTGGCAGGGACTAAGGGGAGGGGAGGGTGTGAGGGATGAGAGGGGCAGAGAGAAGGGCTGGAGAGACAGGAAGTGAGGAAAAGGAGCAAGGGAAAGGACTCTAAAGCAGTGGAGGAGCCTAGCAGGGGGTTCTTGACATGCATTCGGTATTTAATACATTTTGTGGGACTGCCAAAAACTAATGGCCTCCTCATGATTAAAAACATAAGAGTAAAAAAATACCAAGTATGCAAATAAAATGTGCACACTGCTTAGATGTGCATAATTCATAAAAACAAGCAGTGCTTAAGCATTGATGATAGGCATTTTGACTTCAGTGCAATTTTGAGGCTCCTTGTTACAATATACAGTAACAAATCCTGCTTCTTTGTATTGAGATGTCCTGGACTCACACAGGGAAACTCGGGCTATGGAATGAAGATAATTTTAAATGCAACAACCCAGAGTCATGGATCCACAGTCTGGGAAAGTAAACTTAGAAGCTTTGTGACTCGAATTGCAATGCTGTTTGGATACACTTATATATGAAGCAGGCAAAATCAGGTCTTTTACAGATTAGAATCCTGATCATTCAGGGGTTAGATTGTGCTAACCACTGTATTAATAAACAAACAAACAAAAAAACCTGGTCACTATGAGAATCTCTATCTTGTGCCTTCAGCCACAACTTCACCAGGTTTAAAGAGAAAACCCCTTTCTCTACACCGCCATTCCCAAGGCGAGCTCACTCTCTGGCATCAAAGTTCCCTGGGGTGAGTTTTCTTCTAGGATAGTCCAAGGGGAGAGGTAAGGAGTCGGAAGTCCAGTTCAGGGACGAGGATTCCAGGATGAGCGTGAATGGGAAGGGGCTGGGCCCAGCCTGGGGGTTCTCTCCCTAGTTTCCACAGACAGATCCTTGACCAGGACTCAGGCAGTCAGTGTGACAAAGAGGCTGGCGTAGGAAAAGAGAGGTCAGGACAAAGTCCCAGGCCCCAGGCGTGGCTCTCTGGGTCTCAGGCCCCAAGAGCGATGACTGCACTGGGGAGTCACAGGGTTGGGGATTGCCCACTCCCCTGAGTTTTGGTTCTCCCAACCTTCTTCCTGGATACTTGTGACATAATCCCACTTCTCACTCCCATTGGGTGCCGGGTTTTTAGAGAAGCCAATCAGCTTCGCCGCGATCCCGGCACTACGATCCCGGCACTACAGTCCCGGCGCAACCACCCGCACTCAGATTCTCCCCAAACGCCAAGGATGGGGGTCATGGCTCCCCGAACCCTCCTCCTGCTGCTCTTGGGGGCCCTGGCCCTGACCGAGACCTGGGCCGGTGAGTGCGGGGTCGGGAGGGAAAGGGCCTCTGCGGGGAGAAGCGAGTGGCCCGCCCGGCCCGGGGAGCCGCGCCGGGAGGAGGGTCGGGCGGGTCTCAGCCTCTCCTCGCCTCCAGGCTCCCACTCCTTGAGGTATTTCAGCACCGCAGTGTCCCAGCCCGGCCGCGGGGAGCCCCGGTTCATCGCCGTGGGCTACGTGGACGACACAGAGTTCGTGCGGTTCGACAGCGACTCCGTGAGTCCGAGGATGGAGCGGCGGGCGCCGTGGGTGGAGCAGGAGGGGCTGGAGTATTGGGACCAGGAGACACGGAACGCCAAGGGCCACGCGCAGATTTACCGAGTGAACCTGCGGACCCTGCTCCGCTATTACAACCAGAGCGAGGCCGGTGAGTGACCCTGGCCCGGGGCGCAGGTCACGATCCCTCCCCATCCCCCACGGACAGCCCAGGTCCCGGGTCTGAGTCTCCGGTCTGAGATCCACCCCGAGGCTGCGGGACCTGCCCAGACCCTCGACCAGGGAAGAAACTCGGGCGCCTTTACCCGGTTTAATTTCAGTTTAGGCCAAAATCCCCGCGGGTTGGTCGGGGCGGGAGCGGGGCTCGGTGTTCGGGGCTGACGGCGGGGGCGAGGCCATGGTTCTCACACCATCCAGAGGAAGCATGGCTGCGACGTGGGCCCGACAGGCGCCTCCTCCGCAGGTATGAACAGTTCGCCTACGATGGCAAGGATTACATCGCCCTGAACGAGGACCTGCACTCCTGGACCGCCGCGAACACAGCGGCTCAGATCTCCCAGCACAAGTGGGAAGCGGACAAATACTCAGAGCAGGTCAGGGCCTACCTGAGGGCAAGTGCATGGAGTGGCTCCGCAGACACCTGGAGAACGGGAAGGAGACGCTGCAGCACGCGGGTACCAGGGGCCACGGGGGCGCCTCCCTCATTTCCTGTAGATTTCCCGGGCTGGCCTCCCACCAGGAGAGTAGGAAAATGGGACCAATGCTAGAATATCGCCCTCCCACTGGTCCTGAATGGGAAGAATCCTGGGTTTCCAGATCCTGTACCAGAGAGTAACTCTGAGAGCCCACCCTGCTCTCTGGGACAATTAAGGGATGAAGTCCCTGAGGAAATGGAGGAGAAGACAGTCCCTGGAATACTGATCCGTGGTCCCCTTTGACCCCTGCAGCAGCCTGGGGCACCAGGAATTTTCCTCTCAGGCCTTGTTCTCTCCCTCACACTCAGTGTGTCCGTGGCTCCGATTCCAGCTCTTCTGAGTGCCTTGGCCTCCACTCAGGTCAGGACCAGAAGTCCCTGCTCCCCCATCAGAGACTCGAACTTTCCAAGGAATAGGAGATTATCCCAGATTCCTGTGTCCAGGCTGGTGTCTGGGTTCTGTGCTCCCTTCCCCATCCCAGGTGTCCTGTCCATTCTCAGGATGGTCACATGTATGCTGCTGGAGTGTCCTATGAGGAATGCAAAGTGCCTGAATTTTCTGACTCTTCCCCTCAGATCCCCCAAAGGCACATGTGACCCAGCACCCCATCTCTGACCATGAGGCCACCCTGAGGTGCTGGGCCCTGGGCCTCTACCCTGCGGAGATCACACTGACCTGGCAGCAGGATGGGGAGGACCAGACCCAGGACACGGAGCTTGTGGAGACCAGGCCTGCAGGGGACGGAACCTTCCAGAAGTGGGTGGCTGTAGTGGTGCCTTCCGGAGAGGAGCAGAGATACATGTGCCATGTGCAGCATGAGGGGCTGCCAGAGCCCCTCACCCTGAGATGGGGTAAGGAGGGGTGTAAGTTGTCTCCTCTCAGGGAAAGCAGGAGACCTTCAGCAGGGCAGGGCTGAGGCCTGGGGGTCAGAACCCCTCACCTCCCTCTCCTTTCCCAGAGCCGTCTTCTCAGCCCACCATCCCCATCGTGGGCATCGTTGCTGGCCTGTTTCTCCTTGGAGCTGTGGTCACTGGAGCTGTGGTTGCTGCTGCGATGTGGAGGAAGAAAAGCTCAGGTAGGGAAGGGGTGAGAGGTGGGGTCTGGGTTTTCTTGTTCCACTGTGGGTTTCAAGCCACAGGTAGAATTGTGACTTGCTTCATCACTGGGAAGCACCGTCGACACACAGGCCGACCTAGCCTGGGGCCCTGTGTGCCAACACTTGCTCTTTTGTGAAGCACATGTGAAAACGAAGGACAAATTTATCACCTTGATGATTGTGGTGATGGGGACCTCCCAGCAGTCACAGGTCACAAGGGAAGATCCCTACTGAGGACAGACCTCAGGAGGGCAGTTGGTCCAGTCACCACACCTGCTTTCCTCATGTTTCCTGATCCTGCCCTGGGTCTGCAGTCACAGTTCTGGAAATTTTCCTGGGGTCCAGGATTTGCTGTTTCCTTAAGGACCTCATGCCCCATGTCCTCCCTGACCTCTCACAGGTTGTTTTTTTCTCACAGATAGAACAAGGAGGAGCTATGCTCGGGCTGCCTGTTAGTATGGGGGATTAGAGGGCTGCTCCCTGAGATCGTTGGGACAGTGTAGACAAGATTCCTCCTTTAGCCACATCTCCTGTGGGCTCTGACCAGTTCCTATTTTTGTTCTACCCCAGGCAGCAATTGTGCTCAGTACTCTGATGCATCTCATGATACTTGTAAAGGTGAGACATGGGGGGGCCTGAAGTGGGTGGGGGTGAGGCAGAGGGGACATGATTCTGTTGAGGGGTTCTCTGGATTTAGACATCTTGACCATGTGGTAGGCTGTTCAGAGTGTCACCAGGTACAGTGACTGCCCTGGATTTGTTTATGATTATTTTCTCCTGTAGCTTGAGACAACTGCCTTGAGTGGGACTGAGAGATACAAAATTTCTTCAGGTCCTTCCTCTGACACACACCATTGTAATTTCAAGAGCTCCTGACTTCTATATCTGCACTTGACACGTGAATATATCTATGTGTCTGTGTTCCAGTTAGCATAATGTGAGGAAATGGGCTACTGGTCCACCACTGCCACCAGGACCACCACCCCACACTAACCTGTCCTCTCTTCCCCGGTCAAGTTTTTTTTCAACAGAGGTGAGGCTGGGACATTTCTATTCATGTCTTAACTTTTAAGTTTCACTGAGCTGCCACTTACTCCACTATTCAAAATAAGAACCTGGATATGAATTTTTCAAATTCTTGCCATGAGGTTGGGTTGATTGTTCAATGAAAGGAGAGCAAGACTCTTAAAACTTGAGAGAGGAAGTAAAACCTGAGAGCCTTCCAGAATCCATTTTTGCTGTGCTGGGCCTGTTGTAGGTGGAGACAGGAGAGAGAGGGCTGTGAGGAGCTGAGTGTGGACAGCCTATGCTCAGTTCATCATGGAATTTGACGTGGTCATTCATTGGGTTGGTCATCTTCACTGCTCCATTGTTTGTGTCCCTTCAGTAGAACCTTGTTTCACCAGGACCTGTGATCACAGGCACACAAACATTGCCTGGGCCTTGTCCTGTCTCTAGGACCGTGGACAGCAAGGGCTTCATGGGCTGGGTCAGTCTATGGTCTGGCCCTAATATTTTGTATCATTATTTTTGGTTTCTTTGTTTCTGTAGAGGACTATGCCTGTTCCTGTTCTGGTGTCTGCGTTCTGATCTCTTTCTCCCCTGGGTGTCCCTCATCTCTGACAGCAGCAGGAGTCATTTTTCCTGTCATTAACCCCACAAGGTGGAAGGCAGCCCCTGCACACAGAAGTCTGTGGTATTAAGAGATGAATTTTCAAGCCCGTGCAGCTTTTACCCTATTTCCAGGGCTCTTTCTTGGATTGTATTTTCTATCTTTTCCCCAACCTTTTTAAAGGAACTAGATTCTGAAATTAGCAGAGAAGAGGGATGCCACAAGTTCTCATCTTAGGTAACTTTCTAGTGGAACTCCTCTTCTGCTCAGCTCTCCTACCCACTCTCCCTTCCCTGAGTTGTAGTAATCCTAGCACTGGCTCTAATGCAAACTCATGGATCTATAAAGCAAAGTCTAACTTAGATTTATATTTGTTTGGAAATTGGGATTCATAGTCAAAGATTGTTCTTTCCTAAGAGGGAAATATAATTGCATGCTGCAGTGTGCAGAGGGTTGGTGTGAAGGAGGGATGCAGGGAGGAAGGGAGGGAGGACACACAAGCAGCACTGCTGGGAAAAGCACAGGCGGCCTGGATGTCAGTGTGAGGGGACCTTGTGCTGTCGTTGCTGCAAAACCGCATTTGGCCTGAGGCTATGTTAATAAAGATACTGCCTTTAGAATAGGAGGTGCTCTACAGTGATGATTCATTCAGCCGACATTTGCTGTCTGCCAGACATATGACAGAATGTTTTTGCATCTGGGGAAAGTCATTGAAGTAAAATCAGAAAAATCTCTAGCCTTGTGGAGCATGTGTTCCAGTGGGAAGAGGCAGACGGTACATACACTCTAATATATGCAGAGTAAATGAGGAAAGTGTTAGAAGGTGATAAGTGCTGTGGAACAGGTGATCAGAGTATGGGTTGTGGGACAGAGAAGGTAGCTATTGTGCCGGGGTTGTCAGCGTGGGCCTTGTTGGGAAGGTGACCTTTGATGAAATATTTGAAGGACATAAAGGAATTTGTCATGAGGGTATCTGGAAGAAGTTTTTTCTAGGGAGTAGGAACCTTCAGTGTCAGTGTACCAGGGCAGGATCATGTCTGTGTGTTCTGGGAAGAACACGGGATCGGGTATGGCTAGAGCAGAGAGTCACTGAGATAAGGTCAGGGGTTTGGTCAGATCATGTGGGCATAGGGCTCAAGTATGTGGGAAGGATTTTGATTTTGAATGAGATAGTTTTAAGCAGAATAAAGACATGCCACAACTTCTCTTTTAAAAGGATCACTGTAGCTGCTCTGCTGAGAACAGAATCCAAAGGCCGGCGATGAGCAAGGCAGGTGGGAAAACTGTAGGAAATGAGTGCAGTATTTCAGGCTGGAGATGTCGGTTACTTCAACTGGGGTGTGAGCAGTGGAAATAGTGGGACGTGATTGGATTCCTACTATTTCCAATCACTTTATACCGCATTTTCTAATGGACTAAATCTGGGGTATGAGAAAGAAGAGTAAAGGATACCAAAAATGTCAGACTGTGACTAAAAAGAGTTGCCATCAGCTGAGAATGAGAAGACTAGCAGGAGCATATGAGAGGAGGGGACGTCGCAGGCAGTCACTATGGGAGACGTGGGATCTGAGATGCCGCTGAGAAATACCAGTGAGGTAGTCGGGTTGGCAGTTGGACAGATGAATCTGGAGACATTTAGGAGAAATAGACTTGGGAGGTGATGTCATATAACAGTTATTTAAAGCCTTGAGTCTGAATGACGTCTCCAAGGGAGTGATTGGCTGTAGAAGAGAACAGGAACAAGGACTGAACACTAGGCCTCTGTTGCTAAAGGATCTGATCAGACAACACACCTAGATCAGACTGCACAGTCCTGACCCCACATCTAGAAGGTACATAGACCAGGGAGTTCTAGACTTTCCTGTGGACAGGAATCACCTGGACATCACCTTAAGTCTAAGCTGATCTGGAATCGAGAATGAGATTTCCTACTTATATAATGTTGCTGTTGGCGCTGATGCTGCTGGTCTTCAGATCCCACTTTTGGTAGCAAGAACACAGACCAGGATTCCTAGGCTATGCATCAGCCTCGCCTGTGAGGCTTGTTAATAAGCAATTCCTGCACTCCATGCGCAACATTCTGACACAGGGGCATCTGTGGAGAGGCCTGAGTATTCTACAACAAGCCCACAGCAAACCTGGTGCTCAGCCAGATTTGATATCACTGAGATCAGTAGCTGGAGAATGCCCAGGATGGGGAGGGGTCTCAGACCCACATTTAAGTGTTGCTTTATTCTGGGTTTTTTATTTATTTATTTATTTATTTTTAAGGAGGATGTGTTTCTTTAATTATAAGACAGGATGCTGAGAGATAAATGTCATTTTCTCTATCATGGGGTATAGCCAGATGGAAGATTGAGAAGTGGCTCACAGCTCAGCAGAATGAAAAAATATCTGAATGCTGCTTTCTGAAACTACTCTCCAGAATGATTTCACACTCACTCCTTGGAGCAAACAATGACTTGCAAATTTTTCTAATTTAAACATAAAGGAGTGTACATATTGGTATTAGTATTCATTTTATTTTGGGGAAGGGCACTGTATTAGTCCATAGTCCGTTTTCACACTGCCGATAAAGACATACCCAACATTGGGAAGAAAAAGAGGTTTAATTGGACTTACAGTTCCATTTGGCTGGGGAGGCCTCAGAATCATGGTGGGAGGCGAAAGGCACTTCTTACATGGTGGTGGCAAGAGAAAATGAGGAAGAAGCAAATGCCAAAACCCCTGATAAACACATTGGATCTCAGGAGACTTATTCATTATCATGAGAATAGCATGGGAAAGACTGGCCCCCATGATTCAATTACCTCCCCCTGGGTCCCTCCCACAACATGTGGGAATTCTGGGAGATACAATTCAAGTTGAGATTTGGGTGGGGACACAGCCAAACCACATTGGACACAGAACCAGGTTTGAAGCTACACAGCCAGGAACATAATCCACAGCCACCCTAATTCAGATCTCTCATAGGAACCACTGTCCCTGCTCCTGAGCACAGATGCTACTGCATATACCTCTGATACCCTGATGGCCGACACTGGGCCCTGTGGCAAAGACTGCTATCACTGCTGCTCCTGAGAACTGCTCCACTACTGCTCCTCAGCCATCTTTACCAAAATGCAGTATTTACTGTCCCAGCCTCTCTGTGTCATCTCATCCTGATTAGAAGCCCACATGTGGTTATCTAAATTGTGCAGCCAAAGCCTCTTGCAGTGTTTAACTGCAATAATGTTGGGGAAAGTGAATTTTTCTCCTTTGTAGAAGGAGGTAGTCCCTGCCTTCTAATAAGACTCTTCAACATAGGAAGAGAATTCAGTTGCTGGAGGTAGAGGGGTGAGGGATGGAAAAAGAATGACAAATTTCAATTCCTAGAATCATGTTCTGAGACTAGAACTTTATCTAGTACATTGCAGGCACCTGGGTTTGGTTGAGTGTATAATAAATGACATAGTTCAACTTATTCCCTTGACAGTTTGTTTTGGGGTCCAGCTTTTGTCTACCCCAGTTTTCACACACAGATACGTGGAGAAGCATTGTGTGATGGTAAAATGTTTACTTGAAAGCCTTTTTCCCTATCTTTGTCTCTTGCTAGGATTAAAAACCCGTATCTGTAAGACATCAGAGGATCCATGTATACACTGACATTTTATATAAATTTTTAATATTTTGTTCTATCTGCACATGCTCCTAGGGAGAGTTATCTATACATTCACCAGTTTTAATGTGACTGCTCACAGAAGCCTAAAAAACCATCCTAATTTAGATGCCATTTTACTCAAACTATTGTATGAACAGCTGATAACCATACTGTTTTTAGAAGACCCAGTGACATGGTATAAATGCTCATCTTTTGCTTGACTGTTACTAGTCTGGGATGAGATAAAGTAGAGGTTTACTTGCATAGTTCACTCACAATTTCTATATGTATAGTATTGTGGGCTGCTAACAAACAGTCCACAGACCAGTGCTAGCCCACAGACTGCACTTTGAGAGTAGCATTGGTCTAGATGTACTTGTATTCCAGCATCTACCTCGGTGTCAGATTAATGGCAGGAATTAATCAGTAGCGAATGGGGATTCCATTTCCGGTAATAGGGTGAACTAGGTTTTAAAGCTGCCTCTTCTACCAAAAACAACTAAAAAAGAGATGAAATGTGAAAATCACCCAAAAGTATAGAAATATAAAAAAGGGAATAATCTTTTTGGTCAAAATATAAATGTGGGCAGGATTTAGAAAAAGGGAAGTTGCTTTTATCTTGAGGGCGTTTGCCAAATCTGGAAAAATCTTAGCTTTGGTTTTCTCAGCTTCATATGGTATAGTGCAAAGGAGGTAATTCTCAGAACTTGTTTGTATAGGGAGTATAAGAGGAGACACTTTTGTGTACCCCATGAAATATGGGAAACAAAAGATGTGTTTCCTCAGAGTAAGAAAAGAAAATCTGTTTCATCCCCCAGCACAAGAGTATTCTAAAGAAATTTGCCTTTGAGTCAGCAAAACCTGTTTTTGAGAATTTACAACCACCAGCCAGCACTCCTGCAGATTTGTTGCCCAAACTAGCTTTACCGTTTTGGGCCAAAATAACCTCAAAGCATGATTTTGATTAATAATTGTCCTGGATTAGCGATGATCCAAAAATTGGAAGAAGGAAACAAAAATCTTTATAGGAATGCATATTTAACCCATATGTCAAAGAATTTGCCCAAATAATTCTACAAGGAAAAAGCTGCTCAGAGCATGAACTGTATAAAGTACAAGTGGAGAAAAGTCAGTCTGATTGAGAACCAGTGGAAACAATAGATAAGAGGCTCATAAAGCTTCAATATTTGAATTATGAAACAAAATAACGTAACTAGTATTACATTTAAAATAATTATGAGCTGGGCACGGTGGCTCATGCCTGTTATCCCAGCACTTTGGGAGGCTGAGGCAGGCGGATCACCTGAGGCTGGGAGTTTGAGACCAGCCTGACCAACATAGAAAAACCCCGTCTCTACTAAAAATAGAAAATTAGCTGGGCGTGGTGGCACATGCCTGTAATCCCCGCTACATGGGAGGCTGAGGCAGGTGAATCACTTGAAACTGGGAAGTGGGCATTGTGGTAAGCCGAGATTGTGCCACTGCACTCCAGCCTGGGCAACAAGATCAAAACTCTGTATCAAAATAATAATAATAATAATAATAATAATAATAATGACAAGCTTGAAAATGCCTACAGAATGTATTAACCTAAAAATGACCTGTTTTTCAAAAGAACTAAAGTTAGTTTTTAGGAAGTAAAATTAACTTTGATTTTAAAATTTTTAACTTAGTTGAATTAAAAATTGAAAAGTCATGATCTATTGACTTTTGCTTTGGATTATGATGGAATAACAAGGACCAGATTTACTCTCATGCCTTAAGCACAACAAACTCAAAATAATATATGAAAAAATAGCTATGTACTCAGATACTAGACAGCAGGTATCCCAGAGACTGTGATCTCTGGGAGAAGGGGAATGGAAAAGGTAAGGTCTACAGTTGTCCAGCTTCCTTCCTGGACAGAGTTTCCAAGGCAGAGTGCAGAGAGGCAGAGCCCTAACCAGGAGGTTCACTGAGGTGAGGGGACAGAGTTGTGAACTTGGAGATTCCAGGACATCCAGAATATGCAAAGATGAAGGCACATAGAAAAGACAGCTGATGATAAAAAGCACTGTAAGTCTGCAGGAGGTACCCCTCAAATTTTCAGTTAATCAGCATATTATATAAGGGAACTACCCAAAGACAGGGAAAGAATTATCCGAAAGGACTTCAGAGAATAGTACCCAGTGATATACAGGGCTGGAAATAATGCCTGTTCCCACTAGCCAGACTGGAAAACCTCATAATTTGCTGAGCATTGGATAGAGTATTCTGAAGGGTCTTATGTCAGCAGTGGTAAATAATTAGCCCTGGACTAAACACTTTTTGTTTTTTTGCTAAAAGATATTAAAAGACTTAAAATGATCAAACAGCTCCTGAATAACTTAATTTGTCCCAGTAAAAATAAAAAGCTCAGCCGGGCACGGTGGCTCATGCCTGTAATCCTAGCACTTTGGGAGGCCAAGGTGGGCAGATCACCTGAGGTTGGGAGTTCGAGACCAGCCTGACCAACATGGAGAAATCCCGTCTCTACTAAAAATACAAAATTAGCTGGGCATGGTGGCGCATGCCTATAATCCCAGCTACTCGGGAGGCTGAGACAGGAGAATTGCTTGAACCCAGGAGGCAGAGGTTGCAGTGAGCCAAGTTCTCACCATTGCACTCCAGGCAACAAGAGGGAAACTCTGTCTCAAAATAATAATAATAATAATAAAGCTCATGAATACTTATAGAATGCAAAAATATCTGGCACCTAACCTGGTAAAGTCATGTCTGGCATTAAATAAAAACAATCACCAGGCATATAATAAAAACAAGAAAATACAACTCAGAAGGCAGAGAAAACCATCAGTCTAAAGTTACCTAGAACTGACATAGATGTCAGAATTAGCAGGCAATAACATAAAACGGTTATTGTAAATGTATTCCATATGTTCAAAAAGTTACACAGAGACATGAAAGATACATAAAACATCAAAATCAAACTTCCAAAGATGAAAATGTCAGACATAAAATACACTGGATGTGAGGTGAGATTAATGGTAAACTTTATGCTGTAGATTAAACAGTGACTTTGAAGACATAGAAATAGAAACTTTCTGGGCCAGGTGCAGTGGCTCAAGCCTATAATCCTAGCACTTTGGGAGGCTTAGATATAGAAGGAATGTATCTTACCAGGATAAAGGCTATGACAAACTCACAACTAACATCATACTCAATGGCGAAAGTTGCATACTTTTCCTGTAAGATCAGGAACAAGACAATGATGCCCACTCTGGCCACATCTATTCAACATTGTACTGATAATTCTAGGCAGAGTAATTAGGGAAGAAAAAGAAAAGGGATCTAAACTGGAAAAAAAGAAGTCAAATTGCCTCTGTTTGTAGATCACAAGATCTTATATATGGAAACCCCAAACACTCCACCAAAATACTACTGGCACTGAAAAAAAAAATCAGTGAAGTTGCAGCATACAAAATCAGCATACAAAAATTAGTGGTACTTTTATATACTTACCAAAAACTGTCTGAAAAAGAAATCAAGAAAATAATCTCAGTTATAACAGTATCAAAAAGAATAAATTAGGAATAAATTTGATCAAGGAGCTGAAAGATCTGCACACTGAAAGCCATAACAGTGACAAAAAAAATTGAAGAAGCCACAAATAATTGGAAAGATATCCTTGTTCTTGGATCAGAAGAATCATATTGCGAAAATGTCCATACTACCCAAAGCAATCAACAGATTTAATGTAACCCCTATCAAAATTCCAATGGGATTTTTAACTGAATTAGACAATCTCAAAAGTCGTATGGAACCACAAAAGAACTGCAATAGCTAAAGCAATCTTCAACAAGAACAAAGCTGGAGGCATCACACTTCCTGATTTAACATGATACTACAAAGCTATATTAATGAAAACAGTATGGTACTGGCATAAAAACAGCACATAGAATAATGGAATAGAACAGAAAGCTCAGAAATAAATCCATGCATATACAATTAACTAATCTTTGAAAAGGTGTCAATAATATATAATAGGGAAAGGATACTCTCCTACATATATAGTGATGGAAAAACTGGATATCCACATGGAAAAAAATAAAACTGCATCCCGATCTTACACCATATGCAAAATCAACTCCGAATAGATTAAAGATGTAAATGTAAGACCTGAAACCACAAAACTTGGAGAAGAAAGCAGGTGAAAAGCTCCGAGACATTGGCCTTGGCAATGATTTTTTTGGGGGTATTACCTCAAAAACATATGCCAAAAAAGCAAAATTAAACAAGTGAGACTACATTAAAGTTTTTGCACAGCAACACAACAATAAACAAAATGAAAAGGCAAACCACAGAATGAGAGAAAATATTTGCAAACCTTATATTCACTAATGGGTTAATATGTAAAGTCTATAGACTCCATAGAACTTAATAGCAAAAAACAGATAACCCAGTTCAAATATGGGCAAAAGACCCGAATAGACATTTTTCAAAAAAGACATACAAATGACCAAGAAGTATATGAAAAGGTGCTCAACATCATTAATCATCAGAGAGCTGCAAATCAAAACTGCATTGACATATCACCTTACATCAGTAAGAATAGCCATTAACAAAAAGACAAGAGATAATCAGTGTTGGTAAACTGTAGAGAAAGGGAACCCTTATACATGGTTGGTAGGAATGTGAATTGGTAAAAGCATAATGGAATACAATATAGATGTTCTTCAAAAAATTAAAAACATAACTACCATATGATACAGTAATCCTACTTCTGGGCATATATAAAAAATGAAATCAGTAAAGAAATTTCTGTACCCCCATATTAATTGCAGCACTATTCACAATGGCCAAGATATAGAAACAAAGTAAGTGTTTATTGATTAATGGATGAATAAAGACATTGTGATACACACACATACACACACACACGAATATTATTCAGACATGAAAAGGAAGGAAATACTGCCATTTGTAACAACATGGATAAATCTGAAGGACATTATGCTAAGTGAAATAAGACAAACACAGAAATAAAAATACTGTATGATCTCATTTATATGTGTAATCTATAAAGTGGAATTCAGAGAAACAGAGGTAGAAACAGTCAGTTGAATTAACTTAACTTTGACCTGAGGCTGCCTGTGTACCTAAGTAAGTAGGTAAACAAATCAAAACCTAAGTTAGGAGTATAACTGTTAGCTGGGGTTCACCCAATCACAAGCAGCCAGCTCATCACACCATGCCCAAATAAGGCAAATGCCTAGCTGTAGCCAATCAGGTGATTTTTCTTCTTCTGTGTCTGGCACATAAAGGCTTGCTGTGCACACTCCTGGGTGGAGCTTTCTGACCCTCTCCTGGTTCTGAGTGCTGCCAAATTTGTAAATTATTTTTTGCTTAAATAAACTCTTCTAAATTTAGTTTGTCTAAAGTTGATGGAATTTTTTTTTTTTTTTTTTTTTTTTTTTAGGGGTTACTAGGAGTCATGGTTAGGGGAAATGGGGAGATGTTGGTAAAAGTTTACCAACTTGCAGTTATAGGGTGAATAAGTTCTGGAAACCTAATGTACAGTGTGAAAGGAAAAATAATCTCAGGTCCCCAAAATCACTAAGCCAAAGTGATTTGGGCTTACAACAGGATGGCAACTATTGGTATACTTGAAATTTACTAAGAGAATAGATCTTAAGTATTCTCACCACACACAAAAATATTAACTATGTGTCATAGATATGTTAATTAGCTTGATTGTGGTAATCATTTCACAATATATATGCATTTTAAAAATCATGTTGTACAACTTGAATGTATATAATTCTTGTTTGTCAATTATGCTTCAATAAAGCTAGGGAAAAATAAAATACTTAGAAATAAATGTAATAAAAGAAGTACGAAATTTATACTACAAAAAAACCGACAATATTTTTACAGAAATCAAAGAACTAAATAAATAAAAAGATGTTCTATTTTTATGGATCAGAAGACAATATTATTAAGATGGCAGTATATCAAAATTGGTCTACAAATTCAATGCAGTTCTATCAAAATCCCAGCTGACTGCTTTGCAGAAACTGACAAGATGATATTAAAATTTATATGGAAATTCAGTGAACTACAAAAGTTACAAAACTTTTGACAAAGAACAGAGTTTGAGGAACTATACTTGCTCATGGCAAAAGTTACTACAAAGCTGCAATAATCAATACAGAGTGATACTGACATAAGGATAGACATACAGATCAATAGAATAGAGAGGCTAGAAATAAAAGTTTATAATTATGGTCAATTAAATTTCAAAAATACTGCCAAGGCAATTCAGTGGGGGAAAGAAAAATCTTTTCGAGAAATTATACACAACTCAATAGCAATAAAACAAATAACCTAATTCAAAAATGGACAAAGGACCTGAATAGACATCTTTCCAAAGAAGACATACAAATGACCAACAGGTATATGAGATGGTGCTGAACGTAACTAATCAGAAAAATGCAAATCAAAATTGCAATGAAGTGTTACCTCACACCTGTCAGAATAGTTATTATCAAAAAGATAAGAGGTAATAAGTGTTAATGAGGGTGTAGAGGAAAGGGAATCCTTATACATGGTTGGTGGGAATGTAAATTGGTATAAGCATTATGGAAAACAGTATGGTTTTTCCTCAAAAAATTAAAACGATCTTTCCTTAAAAAAATTAAAAACAGAACTACCAGTATATGATCCAGCAGTTTTACTTCTGGGCATGTATCCAAGGAAAATGAAATCAGTATCTCAAAGAAATATTTGCACCCATATGTTTATCACAGCATTATTTCCTGGAAATAACCTGAATGTCTGTCAACTGATGAATGGATTAAACATATGTTTTACTCTATTTTATGCTGCTATAACACAATATCACAGACTGGGTAATCTATAACAAATAGAAATGTATTTTCTCTCGGTTCAGGAGGCTATGAATCCAAGATCAAGGCACTGGCTAATGGTGAGAGCCATCTTGCTGCATCATCACATGGCTGAAGGTAGAAGGGCAAGTAAAGTACAGAGAACACACTCCTGGAAGCCCTTTTATAAAGGCATTAAAACCACCCCCAAGGGTGGAACCCTCATGGTCCAATCACCTCTCAAAAGTCTCACCTCCTAATAATGTTACAATAGCAATTAAATTTCAATATGCAGCTGGGTGCAGTGGCTCACTCCTGTAATCCCAGCACTTTGGGAGGCTGAGGTGGGAGGACTGCTTGAGTCCAGGAGTTCAAGACCAGCCTGGGCAACATAGTGAGACCCCATCTCTACAAATATATATATACTTCAACCCATGTTGAAATATAAATGGGTTGAAACAACATGGGTTTTGGAGGGGACAAAAATTCAAACCATAGCAATATGGTGTGTATGTATACACACACACACAAAATGGAATAATAGCCACAGAAAAAGGAAGTACTGACATTTGCAACAACATGGATGAACCTGGAGGATATTATATTAAATGAAATAAGCCAGACACAGAAAGACAAATATTATATAACCTCATATTTGCAATCTAAAACAAGTGAAACTCCTAGAAACAGAGGTAGAACGGTGGTTACCAGGGGCTTGAGTGGGAGAAATGGGGAGATGTTGGTCAAAGGGTGCAAATTCTCAGTTATATAATGAACAAGTTCTAGAAATCTAATGTTCAGTATGGGCAGTAATGGATTTGTTAATTTGGTTGCAATAATAATCATACAATGTATATGTGTATTAAATTATCATGATGTATGCCATGCACAACTTTGTCAATTAAATGTTTTTTAAATATGAAATGGCCAATGGTTAAAAAAAATTGTGCTGATGTAACTGTATATCCACCTGCAAAAGAATGAAGTTTGACCCTACCTCATATCATATACATAAATGACTTAACATGGACCAAAGACCTAAATGTTAGTGCTAAAACTATAAAACTTACAAACAAAAATGTATGCAAAAACCTTCATGACCTCGGATTAAGCAGTGTTTTTTAAATATGACACCAAAACACAAGTAACAATAAACCAAACAGATAAATTCTATCTCAACAAAGTTTAAAACTCTGTGTTCCAAAGAATACAATCAAAAAAGTAAAAATACCACCCTCAGGCTAGGAGAAAGTATATATAAATCTTATATGTGAGAAAGAATTAGTATATAGAACACACAAACTCTTACAAGTCAAAAATTAAAAGACAAATAATACAAGTAAAAAATGAACAAAGGGCTGAATAGATACTTCTCCACAGGAGATAGAAAGATGGCTAATAAGAATATGAAAAGATGCTTGGCACTATTAATCATCAGGGAAATGCAAATTAAAAGCACAGTGATATACCCCTGCACGGTCACTGGAATAGCTAGAATAAATAAGACAGATATCAATAAGCAGTGGTGAGGATGTGGAGAAATTGGAATTCTTGCACACTGCTGGTAAGAATGTAAAATGGTGCAGCCTCTTAAAGAATAGCTTGGCAGTTCCTCAAAGTTTGAATGTAGAATGAGTATTTGACCCAGCAATTCCATTCCCAGGTATATACCCAAGAGAAATGAAAACATGTCCATGCAAAAATTTGTACATAATGGTCAAGCAGCATTATTCTCAATGGCTGAAGAGTGGAAACAATACAGATGCCCAGGAACAAATGAATGAATAAGATATGGTCAATCTATGGAACGGAATATTTGGCCATAAAAAGAAATGCAGTACTAATAAATGCTGCAATGTGGATGAACCTTGAAAACATTATGCTATGTGAAAGACGCCAGTCACAAAAGACCATCCATTATATTATTTCATTTATATGAAATGTCTATAAGAAATAAATTTGTAGAGAGAAAGTAGATTAGTGGTTGCCTAGGACTGAGGAAATGTTGGAGGGAAAAATGGGGATGACTGCCTGAGAATAAATATACATGGGTGATGAAAATGTTCTAAAAATAGTTTTGGAGTGATGAACATGTTCTACAATTGATTGTGGTGATGGTTGCACTATAAATATGCTAAAAACCATTGAGTTTAAATGGTTGAATAATATATGAATTTTATCTTAATGAAACTGTTCTAATGAAAAATGATGGCTCACATGAAATAAAATCGATGTGCCAGAGCTGCCATGGCAGATTGTGGAGAAAGAGACCAAAAGGCTCAGAGCAGTGAGCATGCTGGCATAGATAGATACACTCTATAAAACTGGATCATGCACTGGGTGACTGTTTATTTGGAAGGGCCCAAAGGAAACTCTGTTTATCAGGCAGCAAGTCATGGGCAGGTGAACGGGGTATTAACCTAATTTTGTCCTTTGTGGGCTGGAGCTGACTCTATGAGATGATATTGGAGAACTTGGTGCCCTAGCAACAATAGGACAGTAGGATTCCAGAAAGCTAGAGGCCAGCTGGCAGCAAGGCAGAATCAAAATGGACAAAATCCCCAAAATAGTGAGTAATGTTAGAATGGAAGCCAGGAAATCCTGACTGCAAGGGATTTAGGGAAATTATTAAGACTATGGTGTTTCTAGTTGGGCAGCCTATAAGACTGTTGTTTAATATTAGAATCAATAGATGAAAAATAGATGAGCTGAAGTCTGAGATTAATTTCTCCAATAGAAGTTTAAAATCCCTTGCCCAGTTTCCAGACCTGAGCCAGTGCTTAGATCCAGAATCCATTCATTGAAGGAGAGTCACGTCCCCTGATGAAGTATCTGCAACACCATAAGTGTGTACAGTAGACACTTTCTACACCCTTCCCTAAAGGGATCAATGGCCATTTACTCAGGTATCAAGACACTGATAAAGGGGAATGTCCAGATATTTTCAGGTCTATTGGATACAGGGTCCAATTTCACACTGATACCTGGGGAACCAAAGCACCCTCATGGACTTCTATTAGAGGAGAGCCACACAGGGAACTGAAAATAATTTCCTGTCTCAGGTCCACCCGTATCTCCGTGGATTCTCTGTGTCCACACATCTGCTTGGTGGTTATTTTTCTGGTTTCCAAATATGTAATTGATGGATTTATTTTGTACATTAGTTATTTCACTCACACTTTAGTCATTTCACCTGTGGAATAAAGGATTTGTAGTAAGAAAGGCCAAGTGGATGCCCCTAAGAGAGCTTCTAATATCGACCAAGATAGAAATTTTAAAACAATGTAGTATTTGAGGGGCAATGAAATAAACTGTCACTCAAAGACATAAAAGATGCAGGGGTTGTGGTTTCATCATCAACTATTGAATTTACCACTCCAGTTCTAGCAAAAATTGGATGGATGATAACAGATGACAGTGGATTAATGAAAATGTAACCTATAATTAGCCCCAACTTCAGCAGCTGTGCTGAATGTGATATGTTTAAAAAAAAAGATTTATTGTTTTTGTATATTATATAATGCCATTGATCTGCCTAAATGCATTCTTTTAAATACCTATAAAAAGGAGGGCCAGAAGCGAGTTTTATTCACAGAGGACAAATAATAATACATTTTAAAAAATATTTTATTTTTGATTTTCAATTTTTGTGGGTACATAATAGCTGCATATATTTATGGGGTACATGAGATGTTTTGATACAGGTATGCAATGTGAAATAAGCACATCATGGAGAATGGGGTATCCATTCCCTCAAGCATTTATCCTTTGAGTTACAAACCATTCAATTACACTATTTTTAAATGTGCATTATTGACTATAGTCCCCCTATTGTGCTATCAAATAGTAGGTCTTATTCTTCTAAATTTTTTTTTACCGATTAAACATCCCCACCTTCCCTTCAGCCCCCCACTACCATTCCTAGCCTCTGGTAACCATTCTTCTACTCTTTATGTCCATTAGTTCAATTGTTTTGAATTTAGGTCCCACAAATAAGTGAGAACATGCCATGTTTGCCTTTCTGTGCCTGGCTTATTTCATTTAACATAATGATCTCCACTTCCATCCATGCTGTTGCAAATGACTGGATCTCATTCCTTTTTATGGCTGAATAGTACTTCATTGTGTATACATACCAAATTTTCCTTATCCATTCATCTGCTGTTAGACATTTAGGTTGCTTCCAAATCTTAGCTATTGTAAACAGTGTTGTAAAAAACATAGGAGTGCAGATATCTCTTCCATATACTGATTTTCTTTTTTGAGACAGGGTCACACTTTGTCACCCAGGCTGGAGTGCAGTGGCATGATCTTGGCTCACTGCAACCTCCACCTCCTAGGTTCAAGTGATCCTACCTCAGCCTCCACAGTAGCTAGGACTATAGGTGTGAACCACTACAACTGCCTAATTTTTTTTTTGTATTTTGTAGAAATCAGGTTTTGCCATGTTGCTCGGGCTGGTCTTGAACTTCTGGGCTCAAGTGATCTGCCCTCCTCGGCCTCCCATAGTGCTGGGATTACAGGTGTGAGCCACCATGCAAAACGCTGGTTTTGTCTTTTGTGGGGTATATACCCAGCAGTAGGATTGTTGCATCATATCGCAACTCAATTTTTAGTTTTCTGAGGAACCTCTAAACTGTTATCCATAGTGGTTGTACTAATTTACATTCCCATCAACAGTGTACGAGGGTTCCCTTTTATCCACATCCTCACCAGCATTTGTTATTGCCTGTCTTTTGGATATAAGCCATTTTAACTGGGGTGAGATTATATCTCATTGCAGTTTTGATTTGCATTTCTCTGAGGATCAATAATCATCAGCACCTTTTCATATGCCTGTTTGTCATTTTTATGTCCTTTCTTTTTTTTCTTTTTCTTTTTTTTGAGACAATGTCTCTCACTCTGTCGCCCAGGCTGGAGTGCATTGGTGCAATTATGATTCACTGCAGGCTCAAGTGATCCTCCCATCTCAGCTTCCTAAGTAGCTGGGACTACAGGTGTGCACCACCACTCCCAGCTATTTTTTATTTTTGTATTTTGCAGAATTGGGGTTTGACCATATTGCTCAGTCTGGTCTCAAACTTCTGGGCTCAATTCCATCTGCCTTGGCCTCCTAAAGTGCTAGGATTAGAGGCATAAGCCACTGTACCTGGCTTTGTATGTCTTCTTCCTTTTTCTTTTCTTTTTTTTTTTTTTTTTTTTTTTTTTTTTTTTTTTTTGTGAGACGGAGTCTCACTTTGTTGCCCAGGCTGGAGTGCAGTGGTGTGATCTCGGCTTACTGCAACCTCTGTCTCCCAGGTTTAAGCGATTCTCCTGCCTCAGCCTCCTGAGTAGCTGGGATTACAGGTGTGCGCCACCATGCCTGGCTTATTTTTGTATTTTTAGTAGAGACGGAGTTTCACAATGTTGGTCAGGCTGGTCTCGAACTCCTGACCTCAAGTGATCCACCCGCCTGGGCCTCCCAAAGTGCTGGGATTACAGGCATGAGCCACCACGCATGGCCTGTATGTCTTCTTTTGAGAAATGTCTATTCAAATCTTTTGCCCATTTTTTTACTTAGACTTTTAGAATTTTTTTTTTTTTTTTTTTACTATAGAGTTGTTTGAGCTTCTTATATACTCTGGTTATTATTTCTTTGTCAGATGGGTAGTTTGCAAATATTTTCTCCCATTCTGTGGGTTGTCTCTTTATTGATTGTATCCTTTGCTTTGTAGAAGCTTTTAAACTTGATGTGATACTATTTGTCCAGTTTTATTTTGGTTGCCTGTGCTTGTGGGGTATTGCTCAAGAAATTTTTGGCCAGACTACTGTCCTGGAGGTTTTCCCCAATGTTTTCTTATAGTAGTTTCATGTTTGAGGTCTTAGATTTAAGTCTTTATTACATTTTGAATTTATTTTTTATTTTTTGAGATGGAGTCTTGCTCTGTCGCCAGGCTGGAGTGCAGTGGCACAATCTCAGCTCACTGCAACCTCCACCTCCTGGGTTCAAGCGATTCTCCTGCCCCAGCCTCCTGAGTAGCTAGGACTGCAGGCACATGCCATCACGCCCAGCTAATTTTTGTATTTTTAGTGGGTGGGGGGGGGTGAGTTTCACCATGTTGGTCAGGATGGTCTCAATCTCTTCACCTCGTGATACGCCTGCCTCAGCCTCCCAAAGTGCTGAGATTACAGGTGTAAGCCACCATGCCTAGCCTTGATTTGACTTTTGTCTACAGTGAGAGGTAGGGGTCTAGTTTCATTCTTCTGCATATGGATATCCAGTTTTCCCAGCACCATTTCATTGAAGAGACTGTCTTTTCTTTTCTCCAGTATAAGTACTTGGCAACTCTGTCAAAAATGAGTTCCCTGTGAGTGTGTGGATTTGTTTCTAGGTTCTCTATTCTGTTCTGTTGGACTATGTGTCTGTTTTTATGTCAGTACCATGCTGTTTTGGTGATTATAGCTCTGTAGCATAATTTGAAGTCAGGTAATGTGATTCCTCCAGTTTTGATCTTTTTGCTTAATATAATTTTGGCTATTCTGGGCATTCTGTGTTTTCATATAAATTTTGGGATTTTTTTTTCTATTTCTCTGAAGACTATTATTGGTATTTTGATAGGGATTGCATTAAATCTGTAGATTGCTTTGGGTAGTATGGACATTTTAACAATATTGATTCTTCCAATCCATAAAGATGGAATTTTTTCCATTTTTTTTGTGTCCTCTTCAATTTCTTTCATCAATGTTTTATAATTCTCCTCATAGATATCTTGCACATTTTTGGTTAATTCCTAGGTATTTAATTTTATGTGTGGCTATTGTAAATGAAATTACCTTCTTAAATTTAAAATTTTTCAAATTGTTCACTGTTGACATATAGAAATGCTACTGGTTTTTATATGTTGATTTTGTGTCCTGCAACTTTACTGAATTTATTGATTCTAATAGTTTTCCTGTGGAGCCTTTAGGTTTTTTCCAAATATAAGTTCATATCATCTGCAAACTAGGGTAATTTAACTTCTCCCTTTCCAGTTTGGATGGCCTTTATATCTTCTCTTGTCTGATCGCTCTAGCTAGAACATCCAGTACTTTGTTGAATAACAGTGGTGACAGTGAACATCCCTGTTGTGTTCCAGATCTTATAGGAAAGTCTTTCACTTTTTCCCCATTCAGTATGATACTAGCTGTGGGTCTGTCATATCTGGCTATTACGTTGAGGTATATTTCTTTTATACAGTTTTTTGAGGGTTTTTATCATGAAGGGATGTTGGATTTTATAAACTACTTTTTCAGCATCAATAGAAATAATCATATGGTTTTAATCATTCTTTTTGATATGATGTATTACATTGATTGATTTGCATGTGTTGAACCATCCTTGCATTCCAGGGATAAATCCCACTTGGTCATGATAAATGATTTTTTTTTTAATGGAGTCTCACTCTGTCACCAAGGCTGGAGTGCAGTGCCACAATCTCAGCTCACTGCAACCTCCACCTCCTGGGTTCAAGTGATTCTCCTGCCTCAGTCTCCTGAGTAGCTGGGATTACAGGCATGCACCACCACACTCGGCTAATTTTGTATTTTCAGTAGAGACGAGGTTTCACCATGTTGGTCAGGCTGGTCTTGAACTCCTGACCTCAGGTGATCTGCCCACCTCGGCCTCCCAAAGTGCTGGGATTAGAGGCTTAAGCCACTGCACCCGACCCTGATGAATGATCTTTTTAATGTATTGTTGAATTTAGTTTGCTAATATTTTGCTGAGGATTCTGGCATCAATATTCATCAGAGAAATTGGCCAGCAGTTTTCTTTTTTTGATGTGTCTTTGTCTGGTTTTGGTATCAGGGTGATACTGGTCTCCTAGAATGACTTTGGAAATATTCTCTCCTCCTCTATTTTTCAATAGCTTGAGTGGGATTGGTATTAGTTCTTCTTTAAATGTTTGGTAGAATTCAACAGTGAAGCCATCGGGTCCTTGGTTTTCTTTAGTGGGAGACTTTTTATTATGGCTTCAACCTTGTTACTTGTTATTAGTCTGTTCAGGTTTTGGATTTCTTCCTGGTCCAGTCTCAGTAGGTTGTATGTGTCTAGGAATTGTCAATTTCTTCTAGATTTTCCAATTTATTGGCATAGAGTTGCTCATAGTAGCCCCTAATGATCCTTTGAATTTCTGCAGTGTCAGTTGTAATGTCTTTTTCATTTCTGATTTGTATCTTGTCTCTTTTTTCTCAGTCTTGCTAAAGGCTTGTCAGTTTTGTTTAACTTTTGAAAAAAAGCAACTTTTTGTTTCATTGTTCTTTTGCATTGATTTTTATTTCAATTTTATTTATTTATGCTCTAATTTTTATTATTTGTTTTCTTCTAATTTTGTGTTTGTTTTGCTCTTGCTTTTCTGGTTAAGGTTCATTGTTAAATTGCTTATTTGAAGTTTTTCCTCTTTTTTCATGTAGGCACTTATAGCTATCAATTTGCCTCTTAGTACTGCTTTTGCCGTATCCCATAGGTTTTGGTATGTTGTGTTTCCTTTATCATTTGTTTCAAGAAATTGTTCAATTTCCTTCTTAATTTCTTCATTGACTCAATGGTCATTCAGGAGCATATTGTTTAATTTTCATGTATTTGTAGTTTCAAAAATTCCTCTTGTTATTAGTTTCTAGTTGTATTCCACTGTGGTCAGAGAAGATGCTTGATGGTATTCAACTTTTTTAATGTTTTAAGACTTGTGACCTAACATATGGTCTATCCTTGAGAATGATACATGTGCTAAAAAAGAATGTGTATTCTGCAGCCATTGGATAAAATGTTCTGCAAGTATGTATTAGATCCATTTGATCTACAGTGCAGATTAAGTCTGATGTTTCTTTTTTATTTTCTGTCTGGAAGATCTGTCCAGTGCTGAAAATGTGGTGTTGAAGTCTCCAGCTATTATTGTATTGGGGTCACTCTCTCTCTTTAGCTCTAATCGTATTTGCTTTATATATCTGGGTGCTGCAGTGTTGAGTGCATATATATTTATATTTGTTATATCCTCTTGCTGAATTGAACCCTGTATTAGTCTATTCTTGCACTGCTATAAAGAAATACCCGAGACTGGGTAATATATAGAGAAAAGAGGTTTAATTGGCTCACAGTTCTGCAGGCTGTACAGGAAGCATGGCTGGGGAGGCCTCAGAACACTTACAATCATGACAAAAGGTGAAGGGGAGGCAAGCCTGTCTTACATGGCTGGAGCAGGAGGAAAGTGGGAGGAGGTGGCACACACTTTTAAACAATCAGATCTCACAATAACTCACTCACTGTCATGAGAACAGCACCCAGGGGGATGGTGTTAAACCATGAGAAACCACCCCCATTATCCAATCCTCTTCCACCAGGCTCAACCTCCAAAATTTAGGATTACAATTGAACATGAGATTTTGGTGGGGATGCAGATCCAAATCATATTATTCCACCTCTGGTGTCTCCCAAATCTCATGTCCTTCTCATACTGCAAAATACAGTTATATCTTCCCAACAGTCCCTCAAAGTCTTAACTCATTCCAGCATTAATTCAAAAGTCCAAAGTCCAGAGTCTCAACCTGAGACAAGGCAAGTCTCTCCCACCTGTGAGCTTACAAAATAAAAAAACAGTTAGTTACTTCCAACATACAGTGGGGGTACAGGAATTGGGTAAACACTCCCATTCCAAAAGTGAGAAATTGGCCAAAAGAAAGGGGCTACTGGACCCATGCAAGTCTGAAACCCAGCAGGTAGTCATTAAATCTTAAAGCTCCAAAATACTCTCCTTTGACTCCATATCTCACATCCAGGGCACACTGGTGCAAGGGGTGGGCTCCCAAGGCCTTGGGCAGCTCAGCCCCTGGGACTTTGCAGGGTAAGCCACTGTCACTGCTTTCACGGGCTGGCATTGACTGCCTGTGGCTTTTCCAGTTGTACAGTGCAAGCTGTCATTGGCAGATCTATCATCCTGGAATCTGGAGGACAGTGGCTGTCTTCTCACAGCTCCACTAGGCAGTACACCAGAGGGGAAGCTGTGTGGGAACTCCAACCCCAAATTTCCCCTCCACACTACCCTAGTAGAGGTTCTCCATGAGGGCTCTGTCCCTGCAGCTGGCTTCTGCCTGGACATCCAGGCTTTCCCACACATACTCTGAAATCTAGTTGGAGGCTCCCAAGCCTCAATTCTTGCACTCTGTGCACCTACAGGCTTAATTTAACACCACACGGGAGCCACTAAGGCTTATAACTTGCATCCTATGGAGCAGCAGCCTGAGCTATACCTGGGGCCCTTTGAGCTGAAGCTGGAGCTGGAGCAGCTGGGATTTGGAGAGCAGTTTCCTGAGGTTGTGCAGGGCAGCAGGACCCTGAGCCTGGCCCAGGAAACCATCCTTCCCTCCTAGGCCTTTGGGCCTGTGATGGGAGAGGCTGCCCCCAAGGTATCTGAAATGCCTTCAAGGTGTTTTTCCCACTATCTTGGCTATCAACATTTTGCTCCTTGTTACTTGCAATTTTCTGCAGCTAGCTTGAATTCCTCTCCAGAAAATGGTTTTTTTCTTTTCTACAACATGGCCAGGCTGCAAATTCTCCAAACTTTTACACTCTGCTTCCTTTTTAAATATAAGTTCCAGTTTCTTGTCATGTCTTTGCTCACAAATATGAGCACAGACTACCAGAAGCAGCCAGGCCACGTCTTGAACGCTTTGCTGCTTAGAAATTTCTTCTGCCAGATACCCTAAATCTTCGCTCTCAAGTTCAAAGTTCCACAGATTCCTAGGGCAGGGGCACAATGTCTCCAACCACAATGTCCTAACAAAAGTGACCTTCACTCCAGGTCCCAATAAGTCCCTCATCTCCATCTGAGACCTCCTCAGCCTGGACTTCATTGTCCATATCACTATCAGTATTTTGGTCAAAACAATTTAACAAATCTCTAAGAAATTCCAAACTTCCCCTCATCTTCCTATCTTCGGAGCCCTCCACACTCTTCCAACCTCTGTCTATTTCCCAGTTCCACTGCTGTTTCCACATTTTCAGGTATCTTTCTAGCAATGCCTCACTCCTCTTTACCAATTTTCTGTATTATTCTGTTCTCACACTGCTATAAAGAAATACCCAAGACTTGTTAATTTATGAAGAAAAGAGGTTGAATTGGCTCATAGTTCCACAGGCTGTTCAGGAAGCATAGCGGCATCTGATTCTGGGAAGGCCTGAGGGAGCTTTTACTCATGGTATAATGCAAAGTGGGAGCAAGCATCTACATAGCAGGAGTAGACCAAGGCAAGCGGGTGGTGTGGAGAGGTGCTACACACTTTTAAGCAACCAGATTTCAGAAGAACTCACTATCATGAGAACAGCACTAAGAAGATGGTGCTGAATTAGTCATGAAAGATCCACCCCCATGATCTAATCACGTCCCACCAGGCCCCACCTCCAACATTGAGGATTACAATAGAACACGAAATTTGGGTGGGGCACAAATGGAAACCATATTAACCCCTTTATCATTGTATAGTGACTTTATTTGTCTCATAGTTTTTGTATCAAAATCAATACTCCTTCTCTTTTTCCTGGTTTCCATTGGCATGGAATAACTCTTTCCAACTCTTTACTTTCAGCCTATGTGTGTCTTTATAGTTTAAGTGTGTTTCTTGTAGGCAACAGATCAATGGGTCTTGTTTTCTCCATTCATTCAGCCAGTCTATGTCTTTTGATTGGAGAGTTTAGTCCATATTTCCATTCAATGTATTATCGATAAGTAAAGACTTACTCCTGCCTTGTTATTTATTTGTTTTCTGGTTGTTTTGTGGTCTTCTTCTTTCTTTTCTTCCTGTCTTCCTTTAGGGAAGGTAGTTTGCTCTGGTGATATGATTTAGGTTTTTGCTTTTTATTTTTTATGTATCCAGTGTATGTTTTTAGGTTTGAGGTTACCATAAGGATTACAAATACTATTTTGTAACCCATTATTTTAACCTGGTAACACTGTTTGCATTAACAAACAAAAAACTAATAAAAACTCTACATCTTAACTTCATCCCCCCACTTTTTAACTTTTTGTTGTTTCTAATTTTATCTTATTTTTCTGACTGGTCTTGAAAAGTTGTAGTTACTATTTTTGATTGGTTTATCATTTATTCTTTCTACTTACACACCACAGTTACAATGTTATCACACTTTGGGTTTTTCTGTGTACTTACTCTTAACAGTGAGTTTTTTACCTTTAGATGATTCTTTGTTGCTCATTAATGTCTGTTTCTTTCTGACCAAAGTACTCCCTTAAGCGTTTCTTATGGGACCAGTCTAGTGTTGATGAAATCCCTCAGCTTTTGTTTGTCTGGGGAAGTCTTTGTTTATTCTTCATGTTTGAAGGATATTTTTGCTGGATATACTATTCTAGGGTAAAAGGTTTTTTCCCTTCAGCACTTTAACATATGTCATGTCACTCTCTCCTGGCTTGTAAGGTTTCCACTGAAAAATATACTGCCAGATGTATTGGAGCTCCATTGTATGTTATCTGTTTCTTTTCTCTTGCTGCTTTTAGGATCCTTTCTTTACCCTTGTCCTGTGGGAGTTTGATTATTAAATGCCTTGAGGTAATCTTTGGGTTAAATTGGCCTGGTGTTCTATAACCTTCTTGTACTTGGATATAAATATCTTTCTGTAGGTTTAGGAAGTTCTATGTTATTATCCCTTTCAACAAACTTTCTATTCCTATCTCTTTCTCTATCTCTTCTTTAAGGCCAATAACTCCTAGATTTGCCCTTAAGAAGTTATTTTCTAGATCCTGTGGGCATGCATCATTGTTTTTTATTTTTTGTCTCCTCTGAATGTGTATTTTTCTTTCTTTCTTTTTTTTTTTTTTTTTTGAGATGGAGTCTTGCTCCTTCACCAGGCTAGAGTGCAATGGTGTGATCTCGGCTCACTGCAACCTCTGCCTCCTGGGTTCAAGCAATTCTCCTGCCTTGGCCTCCCAAGTAGCTGGGATTACAGGCATGAGCCACCACACCTGGCTAATTTTGTATTTTTAGTAGAGATGGGGTCTCTCCATGTTGGTCAGGCTGGTCTCAAACTGCCAACCTCAGGTGATCCGCCTACCTCAGCCTCCCAAAGTGCTGGGATTACAGTCGTGAGGTGAGCCACTGTGCCCAGCTTTGTTACTGTTAATAGTGCTGCAATGAACATACACTTGCATGTGTCTTTATGGTGGAATGATTTATATTCCTTTAGGTAAATATCCAGTAATGGGATTGGTGAGTCAAATGGTAGTTGTTTTTAGCTCTCTGAGGAATCACCACACTGCTGTCCACAGTGATTGAACTAATTTACACTCCTAACAAGTGTATAAGTTCCTTTTCTCCATAACCTCACCAACATCTATTATTTTTTTACTTTTTTGTAGCCATCCTGACTGGCAGATGATATCTCATCATGGTTTTGATTTTGCATTTCTCTAATGATCAGTGATAATTGAGGTTTTCTTTAACACGCTAGTTGGCTGTATGTATGTCTTTTTTGAAAAGTGTCTGTTCATGTCCTTTGCCCATTTTTTAATGGAGTGGGTTTTTTTTTTCCTGTAACTGTGTTTAAATTCCTTATAGATGCTAGATATTAGCCCCTTGTCAGATGCATAGTTTGCAAAAATTTTCTGTCATTTGGTAGATTGTCTGCCCTGTTGTTTATTTTGCTATGAAAAAGCTCTTAAATCCAATTTGTCCATTTTTGCTTTTGTTACAATTGCTTTTGGTGTCTTCATCATGAAATATTTGCCAGTTCCTATGTCCAGAATGGTATTGCCTAAGTTATCTTCAGGATTTTTATAATTTTGGGTTTTAACTCTTTAAACCATCTTAATTTTTGTACATAGTAAAAGGGGTCCAGTTACGATCTTCTGCATATGGCCAGCCAGTTATCCCAGCACCATTTATTGAATAGGGAGACCTTTCCCCATTGCTTGTTTTTGTCAACTTTGTTGAAGATCAGATGGCTGTAGGTTTGTGGCCTTATTTTTGGGCTCTCTATTCTGTCCCACTGGTCTGTGTGTCTGCTTTTGTACCAGTACCATGCTGTTTTGGTCATGGTAGCCCTGTAGTTTGAAGTTAGGTAATGTGATGCCTCCACCTTTGTTCTTTTTGTTTAGGATTGCCTTGACTACTCAGGCTTTTTGGTTCCATATGAATTTTAAGTTTTTTCTAGTTCTGTGAAAAATGTAATTGATAGTTTGATAGGAATAGCATTGAATCTATAAATTGCTTTGGGTAGTATGGCCACTTTAATGATATTGATTCTTCCTAGCCATGAGCATGGAAAGTTTTTCCATTTGTTTGTGTCATCTCTGATTTCTTTGAGCAGCGTTTGTGATTCTCATTGTAGAGATCCTTTACTTCCTTGGTTAGCTGCATTCCTGGGTATTTTATTCTTTTTTGTGGCAATTATGAATGGGATTGTGCTCCTGATTTGGCTCTTGGCTTGGCGACTGTGTATAGGAATGTTAGTGATTTTTGTACACTGATTTTGTCTCCTGAAACTTTGCTGAAATTATCAGATGAAGGACCTTTTGGGCTGAGGCTATGGGGTTTTCTAGATATAGAATCATACTGTCTGCAAACAAGGATAGTTTGACTTCCTCTCTTCCTATTTGGATGCCCTTTATTATTTCTGTTGCCTGACTGCTGTGATCAGGACTTTCAACACTATATTGAATAGGAGTGGTGAGAAAGGGCTTCCTTATCCTGTGCCACTTTTCAAGGGGAATGCCTGCAGCTTTTGCCCATTCAGTATGATGTTGGCTGTGGGTTTGTTATAGTTGGCTCTTATTATTCTGAGTTATGTTCCTTCAACACAAGATGGGAAGCTCCCCAAATCCACATCTCTTGCTTGTGGGGGAGCCATCCTCAGCACATCGGCCCTACCCAACCCACAGTAGATACCAACATCCCTATGATGGATGAGCTATGGTGGAGTCCCCCCAACCCCAGAGTGAGAATTGGCCCCCGATGGGGACTTAGGGAGGGCTGAGTTGGCGAGCTGTGGGAGGTCATCATCAGTGGGGCTCAAGCTCTCCCCTCCAAGCTCCAAGGATCTCTGCAGCCACAGGACGCATTCCTTCTCCACTTAGATCTTGTCTGTGAAGTATCCAATTGCCTTCCATTTCTACTTGGTGTAGAATGTAGGGGGCAATGAATGAAACTGCCGCATATTGCAGAGGGTCCATGTCCAAGCACAGGCAGTTGTAACGGTAGTAGCCACACCACCAGTACCTGTGGTTCCTGCTAGCCCCTCCACTGCCCAGGCCAGACAGTGTCAGTCTGGCAGATGTACCCCCAAGGACTCTCCCTCATGGTGTCTGCTCCTCTGCCCCACCCTTCTGATCTCACAGCTTCTCCTTAGGTGACATTCACACTTTAGACAAAGTTGTTTGGTCCCCTGATTATGATCTCCTTTACTTGCTGTCAGCTCTGCCTGGGAAGAGGTCTATGCTCAGTTCCAGGATACATGGAAAAGGCAGTGGATGGGCAGGTACAGTCTTGGGCTTTACCATGAACTGTGTTGTTTAGTCAAGTTGTTTAACCTCCACTCTGTTCATCTTGTATATATGGGTGGGGGGTGAAGACTATGAGCCCACAGGTCTGCTTCTGTGCTCACTGTAACAGATTCCTAAGTGCAAGTCCCTGAAACAGGATCACAGTACACAACATTAACATAAGAGGGTACATTATGCACGGTACAGCTTTCCTTGAGGTTCTAGAGAATGCAAACCTTAACATTAACAAGTACCAAACCTCTGCTGAAAAATCCTCTAATGAATTTCAAGGTTAAATATAAATAAACTGTGGGATTGTTCTGCCTAGAGTAGCCACACCCTCCTCGGGGGTCCCACAGTCCACAGGCTCAAAGTCCTCATCCAACAGTTACATGCTCCACCAACTTTCAGACTGTCTCTCCCAGTAGGCAGTGAGCCCCTAGAAGGCAGGGACTATGTAACGGTGACCTGGCAACTTTGTTGAACAGCTGCTCCTATCAGGATCAGTTCGTAAAAAGCCAAGCACTGCTCAGCCTTTTATTATGCCTCTTACTGATTTATGCCTTCATTTGGCATTCAAGAACTTGCTCCAATAGTGCCAAACAGTTGGGAGATATTTACTACAAATTATTAAAACTGCAGTCTATCCTCTGAACCAACTGTGCTCAATCCCACCACACATCTTGCTGCTCCCTAACTTCTAGCTGCTTGGAAAGTCTCATTTTCTTCATCTACTCAAATCATACACATCCCTCGGGTTCCATGCAAAGTTCCATCTCATTCATGAAACTCCCTGACCACTGGGATATCTGGCCCATGAACTTGAGCAAACTATTTCTTCTGCATCTCATTTGGCATTTGAGGAGGGACTGTTCTCTGACGTCTCCTGGTATGCCTCACAGAGTCAGTAAAGTGTTTCCAGACCTATAGGTACCACCCCATATTGTTAGCTCTTTGAGGATACACACTAGGTTATACTTTTCTGGTTCTCCACCCTAAGCACCCAAAAGGCAGATGGTAGGTACATCTCAGCTCCAAAGAGACTGCTGAAGACTGAATGAATTAATGACACACAGAGAAACTGACCCTGGTGACCAGCCTGGGCCAGTTCACTCACGTGACTGTGGGGGCTGGCAAGTACATAATTTTCAGGTTAGACTGGCAGGCTGGAGACCCAGGGAAGAGCTGACACTGCAGCCTGAGGCCACAGGTAGCAGTGTTGCTGGGTTGCTGCATTCTTTACTGTGAGATTTAGAAAAACTGTCATTATCATTATCCTAATATTGTCAAAACTTGTAGGCAGCCTATTTGCTGTTTTTGGTTCTTATTGTTAGTGTGTTGTTATTCCTGTGGAAATCATAATTGTGCAGCGTTTTGATATCTATGAATTCAAAAACTTAAACAGAATATTAAGAACAAACTAATAATAAAGTGACAAACTTTGGATACCTTTTTAACATTGTTTCTAAATATTGTAAACATGAATCTTCTGGACCTCAGAGGGAACAAGGAAGCAATGATATTAATAATGAATCATAATCTGGAACACCTGATATTGTACACAAACTATAACAACTGGAAATGCCTTTGCAACTGCATAAGAGTTAGTTCAAAGAAACAATAATTTGCATTTCTAAAATTTAAAAAATCCCCAATAACTTTTGACAAAACTCACAGATGGCTTATTATTGCTAGCAATGTAAATATTGGATGCAAATCATGCTCAAAAGCTGTGTGAATAGCCAAAAGTGCTAAGCACATTCTGTCAGTGCTCATAATTCAAGGAAAACATTAGCAAAATTCAAAGAAAAAAACTTGAAAAATATTAAGAACAGCTTTGTACAATAAAGTATTTGAAAAAAGCAACAAACAGTGGAAAAATGCCATCAGATGTTAGTATACAGTTTACCCAAATGTGTAATTAAATAGAGCATTTTACATCATTAAGTAGAGGCTTTTAAACAATTATACATAGTGCATATCATTGCAGTATAGATTAATGGTTCTGCTGGTTGCAAACCATATTCTACATAAGACAACTTTTGGAAAATTTATTAATCCAAGCAATAAATCATTATCAGTGAAGTGTCAACCATTTCACAAAATGTATTTAAGTTTTAGTTCCTTAAATACTAAATGTAAGACTTACAGGAAAATGGGTTTTTGTTGATCTGAGGAACTTATACCAACCTTACTCATCAGTGCCCAAGAAAAATAGCTTTAATGTGAGACAGTTGTATGATGGTACAGATAGTGCCAGTATATGCAACGAAGAAAGTTCAGGTTTCACCAAAATTTTGCAAAATTTCGGGGTTTAAAAATCTGTTTATCGCAGAAGTCACATTGACTGTCTCACATTTACTCTTCCTCGTGTCCTGATCCTGCTGACTTGTCCACATGGGCAACTACGAAGCTGGCACAACTATACTTCTTTGTTCACTTTGGTCACCACCATTTGTTCTGCTGTTGGGCTGCCCATGTGTAGGCAGGTTTCACGAAAATATCAGGTTCCCTAAGCAACATGAACTGGGAGGCTCAGAGAGGGATTTCCCTAGTCACTGACTTACTGAGGGATTGACTCAAGATTCCCAGGCACTAGACAGAAGCAGTCGGGAAAGGAATCATTTCCTGATTGCCTGTGGGGGAAAAAGAAACTTTTTTGGATAGAACAGTCTGGATGGACTCTAACACAGTAAAAAGTGAAGGCAGTGCATTCTTCAGAAGGGCGGCAGATGGGGCACCACGCATCCCCACAGAGGGGCTGTCCTGCGGTCCTTGCAGGAGTTGCCAGGCTCCCAAAATCTCCTCCTGCTGCTATCCCCACCCTGCCTGAAAAGAGGTGAGGAGGATGATGGGGAGGGAGTCAAACAGACTTGGGATAGGAGGAGTGAGTGCGCTGGTAAAACCAATTACTTAGCTAAACCTTTGGCTAAAACTCTAGGAAGGGAGGCACAAAATGGGAAAGTGTGGGTTTTTTTTTTTTGCTTCTCTAGGTGAAGGTTTAAATTAACTTCAGCATGGGTAAAACTATTCTTTCCTTCTTTTTTCTCTCCCAGAGTTCTCACCACCTCCTCCCAGGCTAAATCCTTCATGTTGCAGGAGACAGAGAATCCCAGGTGAGACCCGGACTTTTTCTCCTCCCTCCCTTCCTTTTTTCACCGTGTTCAGGATAAATTATCTTGGTTTTGTTTCTGGAGGGAAAAGGGCAGAGAGGCCCTGACTTGAATCTCAATCACATTTCTGCACACAGTACCTGAGGAGACAGAATAGCAGAGGGGTGGGAACAATTAACATTGCTTTATGGGCTTTAGAATGGAGAAAAAATAATTCCCACTCTTTTTTCTTTTACCCAAATCCAACTTCAGTTTTCTCTCCAACTCTCTAAAACCACCACCAATACTATTATCACATCATGTGTAGCTACTTGGGGGGTGGTGAAAGGCTGAGTACGCATCATGTTCAGGTAGTAGGGTGTTAAACGAAATAGTTCCTCACAGCAATGCCCAAAGTCATCCTTGGTCACAATAAAGGAGAATAAAGGGAAAAAAGTATGATTATTGTATTAGATTGTGGGGTTGCAGGTGAGTTTTTTTTTTCCATTTTAAAAATTATTTTGTGGTTATAATGATGATGTCAATTTTTAAAAAAATAAAAGAATGGAAAAAGTTGACTTGGGATTTCATAATGCAAAGAAAAAAGCAAAACAAAAAAGAACAACAAAAAGCAAACAAAACAGATTTACATGTAATACCTAATTTAATCCCTTCATAACTCTGTGAAGTGGGTCAGTATTGACGGGTCAGCTTAACTAACAGATATTAGGAATGAGATCCAAAACAACCAGCCATGGTCGCACAGCTTGTGGAACCCAGGTTCTTTGACACTCAGCCCAGTGTTCCACCTGCAATGGCAACCTAAGTGAGGAGGGGGCCTCAGAGATGAGGTGGTCGACCCTTACAATGTTGATATTCTCCATGCTTTCTCAGAGCAAGTGGCTGAATCTCTTTCGTGACAGAGAACTCACCACCTACCAAGGCAGCCCATTTTATTAAGTCTAACTTTTAAAAAAGATACTTATGATGAGCACAATTCTGTCTCTCTCATACTCTATGGAAACGACCAATTTCTGACCTCTATGTCACAAAGAGTAAGTTTAGTTCTTCACATAATAGCCCTCCAAATATTTGAAATCTCTAGTCATAGCCAGATATATTGCATCAAAATAAATGGCTATTTTCTGCAGGAGGGTTGGTCCAAATGTCCTAGCCTACCATTACCTGAAGCAAGAAGTCCTCCCTATTTTTTGAAGAACTATATTTATTTGCTCAAATCATATTTATTAGGGGCCTGCTATCTGCCAGGCAGTGGGGATGCAGCGATACACAGGTCAAATAGGCATTTGGAGTGTGGAAGTGGGTGCCCACCCTAGTCGGGGAGCATCTCAGGATGTCCTCCTCAAGGAGATGACATGTCAACTGAGCCCAGAGGACAACAGGAGTTGACAGGGAAGAGTATTTCCTAGAGCGAGAAACTGGAGGCAGCTGTAGTGAGGTGCTGATGGGTTCTGGCCACCACCTGGACCACCTAGATTTGATGTTTCTCCACCCCCACTTAGTTGTGTGACCCTGGACAAGTTCCTCACCCACTACGTGCTTTAGAACCCTCACTGTGAAATGGGAGATGTGATAGGAATGTTGTGAGGATTGTTTGAGTGAATACATGCAAAGGACTTAGGACAAGCCTGGCACATAGTTAATGCTCAATCAATGTTTTCTCTCGCAACTGGAGGGAAACAAGGTAGTGGGCAGGAAGGGGGAGTGCGCAGACAGTTCCTGCTAAGCCTTGTAAGTTACCATGGCCCAGCACTGTAACCAGAGAAGTGAGGATGAGACTTCCACTTTGAGAAAGGCCTCTCTGGCCGCAGCATGTAAAGGAATGGGAGGGGATTAGAATGTGTGTGCACGGACTAGGTGGGAGCTAACTGCAGGGCCAGCATCTGTGGCACAGATTATCTCTCTTCATCCTGAACCCCTCCCTCTTCCCGTCTCGAATCCTTTTCCCACTCCTGACCACATCCTCCACCTGTCAGAAAGTCACAGTTAAGGAAGAGATTTCCGAGCACACCTTGGACAGAAGTCATGATGATGGGGCCCATGACTGGCAACCTGCTGGGAGAGGTGGCCTGCAGTGTGTCTGGAGTACATGGGGGACCCCGGGAGCATCTTCTGTGTCTGTGGCCCCTGGCAGGCCTGCATCACTTGGTGCTATGCCACTATCAGATCCACCACAGGAGCCATGTGCTATTCATTCCACAAGGAGCCCTTTCAACAGGGAGACATCAGGCCCAACTGGATTCTAGCCACCTTGGTCTCCAGTCTCCTACTCTCAAGCCCATGAGTGACAATTCAGCACAGGAAATTTGGTTCTGTGAGCAGCATCTATTGGCAGGATGACCAGCAATTCTTGTGTGTGGTTTGCAAAGATCTTAACGGAGAACAAATGTTACTTAGTGCTGCAGAAGGAGAACAATGCTAGGTTCCACAAGGTAGTCTGTCCTTTTGCTGTCTTGTCTACACCAGAGAACCTTTGGTTGACTTGCTTTAATATTGGCTTCAGTCCTATTACAAAACAACAACAAATTATTGTATTCTAAACACAGTTCTAAATGCAACAATAGTTTATCTTTTAATCCTGGATTATACAGTTTACAATTACTTGCAAATGCATAGTACCTCACTCCAAAAAACCTCAGGCATCCAGGCATCACAATTTCTCTATCTGCATGACACAGAAACTTCCATGTCACTAGAGGATTTCACAATCCATATATGAATCCCCTGAAGACTTCTTGGTGTGAAGGAAACATCACTGGACACAACACTGAAAATGGCAATAGTCCAGGCATGGTGGTTCATGCCTGTAATCCCAGCACTTTGGGAGGCTTACGCGGGTAGATCACCTGAGGTCAGGAGTTTGAGACTAGCCTGGCCAACACAGTGAAACCCCATTTCTACTAAAAATACAAAAATTAGCCAGGTGTGGTGGTGCATGCCTGTAGTCCCAGCTACCAGCGAGGCTGAGGCAGGAGAATCACTTGAATCCCGTAGGCTGAGGTTCTGGTGAGCTGAGATCACGCCACTGCACTCCAGCCTGGGCAACAGAACGAGACTCCGTCTCAAAAAAAAAAAAAAAAGGCAACAAAAGCCCTGGATAGATAGGGTTTTTTTAGGTGAGCTATAACATCTGGGCAAATAAAAACACTATGTTATTCCTAGAAAAATTATAGAAATCTAACTTAACCTTGTCAACATGGGGATTCATTATCTTATTTAGCAAACTAAAGGAACAATAATGTAACTGCACCTCAGGTACAACTGGAACCAGGGATTTGAATGCAACTAAGACTTCCCATCTTTTATTTTCTCTTCTCTAGATTAGCTCAATTTTTTGCAACACATTTCCTGTATGAACTATAACTATAGCCATTTCTAGATTAATACCTCTTGTCAGCAAAGCAAGACAGAGGTATTCTCTGGTCATGAAGAAAATTCCAGAAAAGAGCTCTGAATCAAAGGCCAAAATCCTGGCATATCTGGTGCTGTGCAGAGCTGAGAGACTGGCTGAAGAGTGTGCCAGCAGTAAGCTATCCTAGGCATAGGGCCTGACTAGAAATCAAAGACCCTAATGTAGCAGTATTGCATCATCTATAGCCTAGATTATGCTGCAATGATATACAACTCCCGTATCTCACTGGTATAAACCAAAAAGATTTCTTTTACATGCTACCTGTTCATCAGGAGTTGCTGAGGGGGTCACTTGGAGATCCAGGCTCGCCAAGCAGCCACTGTCTTCAGCACCAGCTAATGCCCTGCTAGTGGGCAAAGAGGGAGCTCTGGAAGAACATAAACCAGCAGTTAAATTCCCAGTCCAGAAGAAATACATATCACCCCTACTAACACCTCATTACAGGGCACAGATGATGACAATAATGACCTCTCAGGCTTAAGGACCCTTCAACTCTGAGAGAGGGTATCTAGTGGTCACCTAGCTACTATCCTGTCTTTCCCTCAGGCAGAAGTGGGTGTGGTTTCCAACACCCCCAGCTGTGTCCCGGTCCGTGACAACAAAATCTTTGTAATCTAAAGTTTGAAGCATTTCAGAGGTCAGAAGGGTGTTTGCTGTTACGACTCTTGCTCTCACTTCTACCTGACAAGAGAGAAGAATTTGTATAGACTGTTAGACATGTTACTATTTTTTGAAAGCACTAGGTATTTGGGACAAGGTCAACATGTTTCCCTATCAGAAATCACTCATAGATATGTTCTTTGAGGTCAGGAATTCTATGAAATAAAAATAAAGAAAATTATTGAGCCTCTCTTGGATGCCAGCACCATGCTCAGTGCTTTCATTTTTTTCAGTATACTCACATTACTGATTATCCTTCATTTTACTTATGATCAAAGCAAGAGTTGAAGGAATGTCCTTGGTTCAAGGCTACACCCTAGGAGACACAGTCAGAATTTAAATCCAGCTTTCTTTCATTTGAAAGACTGTGCTCTGTGCTGGACCACACTGTACAGTTTTTAAAGTGATCTAACAACGACAGCATCCATCAGTGAACTCTGAGTCTACCAAACAGAAATTGCTCTTAATGGGTTCATCTAATGGCAGGGCCGGCTCAAGGCAAAATTTTTTGCCCCCATCCCTCTTTTTCATTCGACACGATTTTGCTGTATCATCCAGGCTGGACTGCAGTGGCGTGGTCACAGCTCACTGCAGCCTCAAACTCCTGGCTCAAATGATCCTCCCTCCTTATCTTCCTGAGTAGCTGGGACTATGGGCGCATGCCACCATACCTGCTAATGTTTAAAATTTTTGTAAAGATGGGGTCTCACTATGTTCCCTAAGATGGTCTCAAATTCCTGGCCTCAAGCAATCCTCCTGCCGCAAATCTCCTGAAGTGCTGGGATTATAGGTAGAAGCCACAATGCCCAGTCCCCTTCTCCCTGATTAAAAATATATTTTTTTATTTTTTTTCACTATTCAACTTCCATTTTAGGTTCAAGGGGTACATGTGTAGGTTCGTTATATGGGTAAATTACAATGTTGTGGGGGTTGTGTATACAGATAATTTTGTCGCCCAGGTAATCAGCATAATACCCAAAAGGTAGTTTTTAAGTCTTCACCCTCCTTTCACCCTCCACCCTCAAGTAGGTCCTGGTGTCTGTTGCTCCCTTGTGTCCATGTGTACTCGATGTTTAGCTCCCATTTAAAAGTGACAACATACAGTATTTGGTTTTCTGTTCCTGCATTAATTGTCTTAAGGAATGGCCTCCAGCTCCATCCATGCTGCTGCAAAGGACATTATGTCATTCTTCGTGGTTGTGTAGTATTCTATTCCACGGTGTATATGTACATTTTCTTTTTTTTTTTTTTTTTTTGAGACAGAGTCTCGCCTTGTCACCTAGGCTGGAGTGCAATGGCGCGATCTCGGCTCACTGCAACCTCTGCTTCCCAGGTTCAAACGATTCTCCTGCCTTGAGTAGCTGGGATTACAGGCACCTGCCACCATGTCCAGCTAATTTTTGTATTTTTAGTAGAGACAAGGTTTCACCATGTTGGCCAGGCTGGTCTCAAACTCCTGACCTCGCCGAACTCCACCCGAATCGGTCTCCCAAAGTGCTAGGATTACAGGCGTGAGCCACCGAACCTGGGCATCTAGGTTGATTCCGTATCTTTGCCATTGCGAATAGTGCCGCAGTGAACATACATGTGCGTGTGTCTTTAGGTAGAACTATTTATATTCCTTTGGGGATATACCCAGTAAAGGGATTGCTGGGTTAAACGGTAGTTTTAAGTTCTCTGAGAAATTTCCAGACTGCTTTCCACAATGGCTGAACTAATTTACATTCCCATTTGCAGTGTATAAGCATTCTCTTTTTTCTGCAACCTCATCAGCATCAGTTAGTTTTTGACTTTTTTAATAATAGCCTTTCTGACTGGTGTAAGATGGTATCTCATTGTGGTTTTGATTTGCATTCCCCTAATTAGGGATATTAAGCATTTTTTTTCTTATGTTTCTTTTGAAAAGTGTTCATGTCCTTTGCCCATTTTTTAATGGGGTTCTTTTTTGCTTACTAAGTTCCTTATAGATTCTGGTTATTAAACCTTTGTCAGATGCACAGTTTGCAGATGTTTTCTCCCATTCTGTAGGCTGTTTACTCTGTTGACAGTTCCATTTTCTGTGCAGGAGTTCTTTAGTTTAATTAAGGCTTATTTGGCAATTTTTGGTTTTGTTGCAGTTGCTTTTGGAGTCTTCATCATGAAGTCTTTGCCAGGGCTGATGCTCAAAATGGTATTTCCTAGGTTTTCTTCTAGTATTTTCATAGTTTTAGGTTTTACATTTAAGTCTTTAATCCACTTTGAGTTGATTTTTATATATGGCGAAAGATAGGGGTTCAGTGTCATTCTTCTGCCTATGGCTATCCAGTTATCCCAGCACCATTTATTGAATAGGGAGTTCTTTCCCCATTGCTTGTTATTGTCAATTTTGTCAAAGATCAGATGGTTTTAGGTATGTGGCTTTATTTCTGAGTTCTCTAATCTGCTCCATTAGTCTATGTGTCTGTTTTTGTACCAGTGCCATGCTGTCTTAGTTACTGTAACCTCATAATTTGAAGACAGGTAGTGTGATGCCTCCAGCTTTGTTCTTTTTGCTTAGGATTGCTTTGGCTATTTGGGCTCCTTCTTGGTTCCATATGAATTTTTGAATTTTTTTTCCTAACTCTGTGAAAAATGTCATTGGTAGTTTGACACTGAATCTGTAAATTGCTTTGACTAGTATGGCAGTTTTAACAACAATATTAATTCTTCCTATCCAGGAGCATGGAATGTTTTCCCATTGGTGTAATCTGATTTCTTTGGGCAGTGTCTTGTAAAATTCTCATTGCAGAGATTGTTTACCTCTTTGGCTAGCTGTATTCCTAGGTATTTTATTCTTCTTGAGGCTACTGTGAATGAAACTGCATTCTTCACTTGGTTCTCGGTTTAGATGTTATTGGTGTATAGAAATGCTACTGATTTTTGTAAACTTATTTTGTATCCTGAAACTCTGCTGAAGTTCTTTTTCAGATCTAGAAGCCCTCAGGAAGAGACCATGGAGTTTTCTAGGTATAGAATCATTATCTATGAAGAGAGATAATCTGACTTCCTCTCTTCCTATTTGGATGCCTTTTATTTCTTTCTCTCACTTGACTGCTCCAAATAGAACTTCCAGTACTATGTTGAATAGGAGTAGTGAGAGTGGGCATCCTTGTCTTGTTCCAGTTCCTAAAGAGAATACTTCTAGCTTTTGCCAATTCAGTATTATGTTGGCTTTGGGTTTGTCAGAGATAGCTTTTATTATTTTGAGGACTATAACTTCAAACCTAGTTTGTTGAGGGTTTTTAACATGAATGAATGTTTAATTTTACCAAAAGCCTTTTCTGCATCTATTAAGGTATCATGTGGTTTTTGTTTTTAGTTCTCTTTATGTGATGAATCACATTTATTGATTTGGGTAAGTTGAGCCAACTCTGCACTCCAGGGATAAAGCCTACTTGATCACAATGGATTAGCTTTTTGGTGTGTTGCTGGATTTCATTTGGTAGTATTTTGTGGAGGATTTTTGCATATATGTTCATCAGGGATATTGGCCTGAAGTTCTTTTTTTCTGTTGTGTCTCTGCCAGGTTCTGGTATCAGAATGATGCTGGTCTCACAGACTGAGTTAGGGAGGTGTCCCTCTTTCTCAATTTTTTGGAATAGTTTCGGTAGGAATGATACCAGTTCTTCTTTATATGTCTGGTAGAATTTGGCTGTGAATCCATCTGGTCCAGGACTTTTTCTGGTTAGTAGGCTTTTTATTACTGATTCAATTTTGGAACTTGTTATTGGTCTGTTTGGGGTTTCAATTTCTGGTTCAATCTTGGGAGGTTGTATGTTCCCAGGAATTTATCCATTCTTCTAGGTTTTCTAGTTTGTGTGCAGAGGTGTTCATAATAGTCTCCAAGCGGTTTTTGTATTTTTGTGTGGTCAGTGACAACGTCCCCTTTGTCATTCCTGATTGTGTTTATTTAGATTATCTCCCCCCTCCTTTTTTTATTAGTCTAGTTAGTGCCTATCAACCTTATTTATTCTTTCAAAGAACCAACTTTTGCTTTCTTTGATTTTTTGTACGGTTTTTCTCATCTCCATTTTGTTCAGTTCAGCTCTGATTTTGGGTATTCTCTTCTGCTAGCTTTGGGGTTGGTTTGCTCTTGTTTATTTAGTTCCTCTAGATGTGATGTTAGGTTGAGATCTATCTTTTTGATGTGGGCATTTAGCACTATAGTTTTCCCTTAACACTGCTTTAGCTGTGTCCCAGATTCTGGTATGTTTTTATCTTTGTTTTCATTAGTTGTAAACAATTTCTTGATTTCTGCCTTAATTTCTCTTTGTTTACCCAAGTCATTCAGGAGTAGATTAATTTCCACTTAATTATATGGTTTTGAGAGATCTTCTTGGTATTTATTTTTATGGCACTGTGGTCCAAGAGTGTGGTTGGTATTTCAGGGTTTTTTTGTTTTTTTGAGATGAGTCTCACTCTGTCAACCAGACTGGAGTGCAATGGCGTGATCTCAGCTCACTGCAACCTCCTCCTCCCAGGTTCAAGCAATTCTCGTGACTCAACCTCCGAAGTAGCTGGGATTACAGGCGCATGCCACCATGCACGGCTAATTTTTATATTTTTTAGAAGAGATGGGTTTTTGCCATGTTGGCCAGGCTGGTCTCAAACTCTTGACCTCAAGTGATTTGCCCACCTCAGCCTTCCAAAGTGTTGGGATTACAGGTGTGAGCCACTACACCTGGCCGGTATTTCAGGTTTCTTGAATTTGTTGAGAATTGCTTTCTGGCCAATAAAGCAATTGTGGTCGATTTTAAGAGTATGTACCATGTGCAGCTGAAAAGAATGTATATTCTGTTTTTGTTGGACAGAGAGTGCTGTTTTTTGTTTTCCATTTGCTTGATAGATCTTTCTCCATCCCTTACTTTGAGGCTATTGGTGTCCCTGCATATGAGATGGGTCTCTTGAAGACATACAGTTGGGTCTTGCTTCTCTGTCCAACTTGCCACTCTCTGCCTATTAATTGAGGCATTTAGCTCATTTACATTCAAGGTTAATATTGATATGTGCAGATTTGATCCTATCATCATGTTGTTATTTGGCTGTTATGTAGACTTCATTGTTTACTTGCTTTATAGTGTCAATGGTCTATGTACTCGAGTATATTTTTGTGATGGCCAGTATTGGTCTGTACATCTCAGGGTGGCTTAAAGCACTAGGAGAAAGCATGCAAAACAGCCCAAGGTGAAGCTCACTTGGCAGCTGAGAGTGAGTTCACACCATGTACTCTAAAATGAGGAGGTGCTCTTTTCTTCTCACTCTAATTAAAGAAGACTGAGAAGCCCTTCAGCACTTCACTGTGCCCCCTGCTGCCCTGCACCTCCCGGCTACTTTGTGGTAGATTCCTGGCACTTGAACTCTCTACAGGCCCAGGAGAGAACAGCTTTCTTGAGGTCCTAAGGATACCTGAGAATCATTCTCAGAGTTAATGGAATCTTCTATATTTTCTGTGGATTTTGATTATCTACTTTTTTTCTAACTTCTGTGAGATTAGAGAATTGAAAGCCTGTCATATCACTGGAACTCAGTTAAAATGTGGTGTCTTCTCCAATATTGTCCAACTAGAAGATGTGGGAATCCCAACTGATATAAGAACTAAGAAATATGACTACAAACTAAAGGGAAAATAAGAGAAGAACTTAAAGAATATTTGGGAGTTTTAGGGAGGTCATAACTGTAATGAGCTAATGTCATCCATATGTCCAAGGGAAAGTGAATCTGAATTTACAGGGCAACTTCCGTGGGCCAGGTTCCTTCACACATAATTTCAAGTCATGCTAAAATGAATGCATCCAAGGAAAATTTTATCATACATAACTTATGATAAGGAAACTTATGCTTAGGAAGATTAATTAGGAGGTTAAGGTCACCAAGCCTCTAGACTGTTTCGCCAGGACCCAACCCAGGTCTGGCTTCTGTTTGGTTTTGGAGTATGTGTTATCCCCACTCCATCATGCTGCCTCTCCAACCTGCAGCCCAGTGCCCAGGGCACAGGGGTCAGGCCAAGATCAGAAGGGACACTAACACCAACAGGCCTGGCGAGGTGGGAAGTACAGGGAAGGGGTGACTCCAGCTTACTCTTCTCTCCCTCCCAGAGGGACCATCAGGGCCATTGGCACTGTTGGGTGATAGAAGTTGTAAATACGGGGTAAGGTACATGGATGACACCATCTCCATATGTGTATGTGATAGAGTGGCAGGCCAGAAGTTAATAGCCACATCCAGGGAGCCAAGGATATAGTTCCCAGTAACGGCGCTTGCGTTCTGCTCTCAGGGCTGATGAAAGAGGATGGAAGTTGTACTCTGTTCCTCTACTTCAATAGAAAGTAAGCTAAAAGGAGAAATTGGGAGACAGAGGTTTACAAAAGGAAATTTATAATGGGGTCATATCAAGATAATTCAAGAGGGAAAATAAGACAAGGTGGCTCCTTCCCTGAATTGGTGACACAACACTAATCACTGTCCCCACAGAGTGGCTGGGCCTGACCCCAACTACAGGAGCTCAGCTGTCTCTACCCTCTGAGGGTAGACAGGAAGCAGTGGTCATGCTACTGCAGCCTAATGACTTGAGATTAGAATTGGCCATTGCCCCACTGCAGGGTGTGTGCCCAGCACACTTTGACAGCTTCCCTCTCTGTTCAGTCTTGAGAAAAAAATAACACTAAATAAGGAAGGTGAAGCTACAGAAAGTCCTGACTATCAAAAAATGTTAACATTCAGGGCGAGGAAAGACTTTAGAAATCATTCCAAATTTCATGAGGGTAAATCAATTGTAAGGGCCATTAAGGTTGGCAAGTGGCAGAATATGGATGCAAACCTAGGGCCCTTCACTCCTCCTCCAGTGCACTTTCCACCATGCCAGGAGGAAGGGCGAAGAGTAAAGGTGCCAGGGGAAGGGCTGAGGCTTGTCTCCTTCCACTTCTTTACCTCACAGAAAATGAAGGATACAAATGGAGCCGAAAATTTAGGCCTCTGGAAGCTACAGGTCTGTTTCGGATGGATCTATTCTTTTTCCTGGGTTCAGTGAAGTTATTTGGCCATAAAGCCCTAAGCCATGTATGATCATAACATTTTAAGAAATAGAAGCCAGGTATTAGAAGGTTCCGTTTTCTCTATAAATAGTTCAAAGTATCTCAATGAAGTTTAGGTATCCAAAAAAAAAAATACCCCAACTTTAGGAGCATTAAGTATTATGAGTAATAAAATAAATACTTATAGCAATGGGGGTTTCAGGACAATTTACCTCTTGAACATAAGTAGATATGCTCAAGAAAGCTATCCCAAGGACAGGGTTGCATGCACGAAGAGACGAGACCAAGTTAAGTTCCACAGTCAAAACAGACATCCCTATTTCCTTCCTAGTAGCATCTGTACAGCATAAATAGGTATTTGTGAATGAAGTCATGAAAAGATCCTCAAAGGTCTGTGTTAGAGCAACTGTGGTTAAAATACGAGAGTAGGAAAAGTGAGATTCTCCAGTTAAGTTACTAATAATTCAGACTTAAGACTTTTTAGAAAGATGATCATCTTTTATTTCTTTCAGGAGCCATGGCTATCAACCTGGAGAGAGGCCAAAAGACACCTAGGCTTTTTGTAAACCAAAGATTGAGGTATCCACATCAGTCAGCAGTGGCTTCTGCAGCAGCAGCCACAGAAAGTGAGTAATGGAAACAAAAGGATAGAGATATACAGGAAGTCCTCTTTCCTCACCTGGAGAAGAAAGAAGACAGCAAAAAAAATTAGGTCAACCCCACAATCAAGGTAGAGCTGCTCTAAAATCTGAGGTAGCCAATGACCAACACAAACCACCTCACCTTTCTGAGACTCGGCTCTCCTGTAAAGGAGAAACCACACTGACCCTGGATCAAAATCCCCAGACAGTAGACGTGACCTTGGATTTCAAGAAGGAGCAAATTACCTCTGCTAATGCAGATAAAGACGCCACCATTTTTGGTTTTCAGGATTTCACAGGGAAAATAGTCCCATTATTTGGCCTCTATTAGCCAGAGGCCCAGATGACCCTGTGTCCCTGAGATAGGACATGGCTTTCCCATGGCCTCTTATGAGAACCTGCCCACCAATAAGTGTTTTTGTTGTTGTTGTTGTTGTTTGTTTTTTAAACAGTTTCACTCTTGTTGCCCAGGCTGGAGTGCAATGATGCGATCTCAGCTTACTGCAACCTCCACCTCCTGGGTTCAAGTGTTTCTCCTGTCTTAGCCTCCTGAGTAGCTGGAATTATAGGCAACCCCACCACGCCCAGCTAATTTTGTATTTTTAGTAGAGATGGGGTTTCACCATGTTGGCCAGGCTGGTCTTGAACTCCTGACCTCAGGTGATCTGCCCACCTTTGCCTCCCAAAGTGCTGGGATTTCAGGCGTGAGCCACTGTGCCCGGCCACAATAAGTTTTTAATTACCAGAGTCAGTGGTTCCTGTCATTGATTGAGCTTACTGACTGGACAATGAGAGGGTCATATGTGGCTGTCTCCAGCCATTACATTAAGGTGACACTTGAGCATGACACGAGGTCTGCATTCTCTACAATCAACTGGATCTGTCCCACTGCTTCCCACCAGGAGCAGAAGCATGCTTGTGCCAGTTCCTAAACATCATCATTTCATTTTCAGCCCACAGCCCTCCCCTGCTCAGATTTCCCACCATCTAAGGCAGCAATCCTCAAATGCTAGTGTGCACAAGGATCTAAGGCACTTGCCGAAAATGTAGATTCCTGCACCAACCCCAGAGAACCAGAAGCAATCCCTCTAGGGTAGAGCTTGAGAATTTGCTTTGAAAAAAGATCTTACATGTTTTTGGATAACACTTAAAGATGGTCCTAGAACAGTGCTTCTGGAAATTTTAATACGTAAGCAAATTAAGAGCAGCTTGTTAAAATGCAGACGTTTAAAAACTTGGTGCAGGCCTGAAATTCTGCACTCATATGTTCTCCCAGAGAAGCTAAAGCTGCTGGTCCTTTTGGCCACACTTTGAGTCACCAGAACCCAAAGGATTTCCGGCCTGTATCTGGGCCCAAGAGAGCAAAAGTGTCACAAACACACACAGTTTTAACCTTCCCTGATTCTCTGTGGAGTAGAATCTTCTCCCTTACTTCCAGTCAGACAGGTCCCCATGGATAAGGGGGTACTGCTCTGCCTTGTGTGCCCTCAGTTTCCCTTTATGGAACTCTGTTCTGATCTCAAGCTTCCACTAGACCTGCTATTAGAAGTGCTGAACACTGATTTTCTGTGAGTATAAAGTAGTTAAAAGAAAAAAGAAATATATGTAAGGCTGTAGAGTTTCCATCTGTAGATATCAAGAAATGAGTATGAACTGTTAGGCATTCCCCAAGATTGTTGTTCAAAGATCCTCCCAAGTTTGAGACCTCAAATTCTTTCAGGTGATATTCATATCATTTACTCTTTTTTTTTTTAAACTTAGAAAGTGAGTTGCAGCAAATTTTCTCCTGAAAGAATTGCAAAGATGAACCGTGGCCTCTTTCTATATTCATAATTTTTGTCTTAGGGTTAAAAAGACTCCCCCAAGGACAGAAAATTGTACCTAATGATACAGCCTAGAGCGCATGTTGTTCCTTTTGTCTACAGTACCTTCTACCTCTGGCTCAAATGCACTCTGGTCACTGATGCACCTCCAGTTCTCACAGCTTAGTAAATTATGGTGTAGTGATCACGTCTATGTCCCTACTTCCCCAACCAAATTTTCTGAGCTATGCCAGGGTGAGGATGTGGCCCTTTTCATCTTGTAATTCCCAAAAGTCTGTGGTGGAGTGCAGAGATGACCACTAAATGAAAGAATCACTCGTACTGGTTGAAACAATACCAATAAATACCTTAGGTTCTGTGGTGAACACAGATCAGTAAATAAATGTTGGGCAATCTTCCAGTCTCTCAGTGTCCCACGGTATATCTGTTCCCCCATAGGGAGCACAGCTAGAGCTCCTTTACCTACGCTGCGGGGACACTGATTTGCATGGGGAGGCCTGGTGCAAGGCCTCTGCTGGGTATGAGCAGCAGTACAAGCCTTTGAAGGCTGTGTGCTGTTCAGAACTTGGAGCTGGTTGGGGGCCTCCGATGCCCTGTGCTGACAAGCTGGCCTGGGGCTTCTCCCCACTAGAGTCTTCTCTATATCTCAAGGTATGCACATCTCTTCCTGGGCACACAGGCAATGGGCTAGACAAGCATCTCTCTCCTCTAAGGCTTGTCACCAAGCATTCCTTCCTTCCAGGGGGTGGGGTTTGGAAATTCCCACTTAATATAGCCCACCTTCTGTCATTTGACATTTTCTAACACTGGAGTGGTGGTTCCCAATCTCTTCACCATCAAGGAGGCTTAATTTCTTCCCTCTCTATTTTAATACGGTTTTAACTACCAAACAGGATCCTCTAAGTGATCATTTGTTTTCTTATACTGTTCATCAGAGAGATGTTTAAGATCAACATGAAGATGACAAAGTTACATCATTTGCTATTCAATATTGGAAAATACATCTCACCCCATATTGAGATCCTAGTCTGGGCTAGCTGAGTTACGGGGGCTGCTAAAACTCTAGTAATAGCAACAGCTGTCTGCCTTCCATTCTCCTGCTATGGCACACACTTCTTTCCTTCAGAATCACACCCCCGAGATATATGATTCATAACCTTATGGCTAGAAAAAAGAGGACATGATCATTCTACAGGTCCCTTGCTCCCTTGAATTACCTCTCCTGGGCCCATTAAGAACAGGCACATGAAGAAAGAAACCCAGGGTTGTGCCACAATCGCACAAAAATCTGTCCACAGATAACACCTCAAGGAGGTAGGGCCTGCCCACCTGAATCACTGTTGTCTACATAATGCAACTTAACCATCCTGTTCTGCGTTTAGCTATTCAAGACTTTTGTAACCAGTCCCTGGGGTATGGGTTGTTTTCCCAATTGTACCCTGACTGAATCACTGGGTATCATGTCAGAGGAGGGGGACCTATTTAACCTCTTTTCCCTGGTGTCCTGGAGCCCAGGGGCTCCTACGTGGCAATGGGTGCCAGATACCCTTCCTCAGCTAGGATATAGGGGTCCAGATTTCCATAATATCTATAGATTGATTTACTTAAAACTTATTTGTTGTCAAAATACAAATACCCTGGGCTTAGGAAGAAATTAATACTTATCAAGACTATGTCAAATAAAAACAACTACCACTAACTGAAACCACTTAGTTATCAGATATATTATACATATCACTCCATGTAATCCTCCCAACAAAATGATGTCATCTAAGAGATGAGAAACTGGGACCCAGACCAGTGAAGCCCCATGGCATAAGTCACACAGGCAAGAAATGGTAAAGCAAAAATTCACACCTACGTCTTCCTGGGCTTTGCCATAACGCACACTGGCTTCTTCACTGTGGCTATTGCCTGACAGAATGAGACTCAAGTAATTACAAGGATTCATCAGAAGGGAAAAGCTGACATGACCAGAACTAGAACACAGCCCAGGGAATGCAAGTCTGGGTAGATCATGGTACTCGAAGCCCAAGGATCATTTGAAAGAGGTTTAAAAAAATAAAAAAAGGAGTAAAATGCACAAGTGAAATGGAGGTGAAACTTAACTATAGCTTAATTTTTACTTCAAAGACTGCTCAGCTCATTTTGGGAATGTGAGGGGAATTAAGAAGATTCTGGATAGGTTTGTAGGAGAGGCAAGGTGTGTAGGGTATATGTGGGGACAAAGGGAGCAATTGTATCCTAGACTGTATCCAATAATTTTCTGGGACAAAAGAGAGCAAATGTAGACGTGGGGAAGTAGTAGCTTGAGTGGTATCAGGTGCCAGAAAGAAGACCAAGGGAAAAACCTCTGATGACCATGGGGATAGTGTAAATTGAGTAGCAAGAGGAAGGAGGACTGCAGAAGTTCAAGAATGATGAGAACTGAGGAAACGAAGATAAACACAGAGATAAACACAGACAACTTCACTGCAGCGAAAGAGAAGATGGTGTTACACAGGTAAGCAGGATCAAGAAATGGCTTTTTTGTTGTTGCTGTTGTTTGTTTTTTTTTTTTTTTTTGATTCGGAGTCTCGCTCTGTAGCCAGGCTGGAGTGCAGTGGCGTGATCTCGGTTCACTGCAACCCCCGACTCCCTGGTTCAAGTCTCCTGCCTCAGCCTCCCGAGTAGCTGGGATTACATGCACGCGCCACCATGCCTGGCTAATTTTTGTATTTTTAGTAGAGATGGGGTTTTGCCACCTTGGCTAGGATGGTCTCGATCTCCTGACCTCGTGATCTGCCCGCCTCAGCCTCCCAAAGTGCTGGGATTACAGGCATGAGCTACCGCACCTGGCCTGGCTTTTTTTTTTTTTTTTTAATGGAGTGTAGCTCTATTGCTCAGGCTGGAGTACAGCGATGCGATCTCGGCTCACTGCAATCTCTGCCTCCCAGGTTCAAGCAATTCTCCTGCCTCAGCCTCCTGAGTAGCTGGGACTACAGGCATACACCACCGCACCAGCTAATTTTTGTATATTTAGTAGAGATGGGGGTTTCGCCATGTTGGCCAGGATGGTATCGAACTCCTGACCTCAGGTGATCCACCCGCCTTGGCTTCCCAAAGTGCTGGGATTACAGACATAAGCCATCGTGCCAGGCCAAGAAATGGCTTTTAAAAATGCTGATTTGAAAGCAAAAGAGAAGGAAGTAGAGGAGAGATTTATGATTTTAAGAAAAAGGAGGAATATGAAGGATCAACTTTGCTCTTTTCACCAGCCAAAGGGCATATTCTAGAAAGATGGTTTTAAACCTTCTCTTCCTGCATTTGTAAGTGTGCAAAGATGCCATGCCTTTATTTCTCTAGAACTGGTTTTTCTTCCTCACAAGTCTCTCATCCATAACCTTAGTCCAGCCCAATGGACAAAACCATGAGGAACCTCAAACACCCTTCCAAAAAGATTTAGATTTTACTCAAGAGGTGAAGGAGAATCATTAAAGATGACTGAGTAGGGGAATACTATAGTCAGAGTTTTTTGTTAGAAATATCACTGAGGCCATACAGGGGAAAGACTGGGAGTGTGGCAAGAGAGTGAGACCAAATGCTCAGATAAAGGTAGGGAGGCAATTGTTATAGTCCAGAACTGAAATAGGACAGTGGAAGTGGAAATGGAGGGAGGGGACAACAAAGACATGTTTAGAGATATCAGAAATTGACCATTAAAATAGGCATACAGGAAGGGAAAATGTATCTCATTAATTAAGAAAGCAATGGCATACTGGATACCAACAGCAAATAGCAAAGAAATGGTTGTGTGGGTGTGTGTGTTTTTTTTTAAGGGAAAAAAATGAGGATAAAGGGAAGAGAAAGTGATGTTACTAACCCTCCATGTAATGATAATCTCCAAATAGCTCTTCCCAGCAGTTCCATACTTAAGGGTCAGGATCTCCATTCAGGGATCTTTCTGTGGTGCTCTAAAGGGGCAGACTGAGGACTTTAAGGGCTATCACTTTCAGGTGGCTTTCTAAGCAGCAGAATTCGTGGGATGAGGAGGACATGCTTGTTCTTTACAGATTCACTGAAGTGAATCTGGGGGCTGATCGATGATAACACTGTGTTGATCCCAGAGATGACAAAGGGGCTGAGTGTGAGATAATGGAGTTCCTGAAACCCCTACGATGAATATGTCCACCCTTCCTTTTCATCAGCTGCTAGTCCCTATCTCATCCTTCTCCTGTCCCAACCCCATTATTCCTAAATCTGAGCTCAGGCTTGCCAGCACCTCTAGGAGTAAATCACAAGACTGAGACCAGAGCAACAAGAAAAGCAGAGACAAATGACTCAACAAGACAGCCACAGGAGGCAGGGCAAGGTGGCTCACGCTTGTAATCCCAGCACTTTGGAAGGCCGAGGCAGGCAGATCACGAGGTCGAGATTGAGACCATCCTGGCCAACGTGGTGAAACCCTGTCTCTACTAAAAATACAAAAATTAGCTGGGCATGGTGGCATGTGCCTGTAGTCCCAGCTACTGGGAGGCTGAGGCAGAAGAATCACTTGAACCTATGATGCGGAGGTTGCAGTGAGCCGAGATCATGCCACTGCACTCCAGCCTGGCGATAGAGCAAGACAATGTCAAAAAAAAAAAAAAAAAAAAAAAAAGACAGCCAAAGGAAAGGGACTAGAAGAGAGAGGAATGCAAAAGAATAGAAAATCTGGGCCAGGTGTAGTGGCTCATGCCTGTAATCCTAGCACTTTGGAAGGCCGAGGCAGGCAGATTGCCTGAACTCAGGAGTTCGAGACCAGCCCAGGCAACATGGCAAAACCCCATACAAATACAAATACAAAACGTTAGCTGGGCATGTTGGTGCATGCCTATAGTCCTAGCTACTTGGGAGGCTGAGGCATTAGAATTACTTGAACGCGGGAGGCGGCAGAGATTGCAGTGAGCTGAGAATTCACCACTGCACCACTGCATTCGAGTCTGGGCAACAGAACAAGGCTCTGTCTCAAAAAAAAAAAAAAAAAAAAAAAAAAAAGAACAGAAAATCAAACTCTAACACCATCACCTGGGTAGTTCCCTCCATTCTCCTATGACTTCCAATAAGTCATTAGCAGATCACCTATCATCTCTTTAATTTCTTCAAAAACAAATAAAATCTCAAACTTGCATTTGGGAAACTGAGAAACTTTCAGGAAACACAGAAACACATCTTCAGGACCTTGGACAGCAGAAAAAGGACCACCCCGCACACACCCCCACCCCACCCCGGCCTCCCCACAACACATGACACCCACGCCAGCAAGACTGCTGAGGAAATGTGACACCTCAACATGCTGATGAGGGAAAGGATAAATAAAGGGCTATATAGTCATCAATGGAGAGTGTTCAGGGAAGGTATGAAGACTCAGGCTACAATAGTCAAGAGGAGCCCTGGGCCCTACAGAATGCCTAGTCCAACTTCCTAATACTCTGAGCCAGAGAAGGACATTCTCTACACCTACATTACAACTTCCCTCTTCAGACATTGATTTTTAAAAGAATATATAGAATAGAATATTGATATTGAGACTTTTTCCAATTCCTTGGGGAAAAATGCATAAAAATATAACTTGCAGTTCACGGATCTAGAAATAGCCTTACAAATGATAAAGAAAATTTCACAAAGGTAAAATATCTCATCAAGGTAGAGTAACACAAGAGCTGTTGACCCAGTATTAGTCCTTGGACATCCTGACTTCTGTGCAGTGTTTTTCTCTTTGTAGTTGGTAAGTGGCTAAAGATCTGGATTCTTCTTCTAGCTCTGCCATACACCAGATGTGTGACCTTTGGCAAATTACTCAATCATGCTGAGCCTTGGGTTCCTTCTTTGAACTGAGCCCCCACCCCCACCCCACACGTCAGGCACTATTAGGGAATGAAAAACAAAACCAATCTCCATGCTAAAGTAGCTCTCCAGTGTAGCACAGTTCAGATATGAAAATATCAATAATCCAACAATACTAGTTAAACATATAAAAGTAGTACAGAGAAAAACATTAATAACCTGACATTTAGAGCAAGATTAGGAGGGCTTCACAATATAAGCAAAGGGAAATCCAGGAAGAAGAAACAGTAAAAGCATCAAGCGGTGCAACAAGACATTAGATTTAGGAAACCATCAATAATTTAGTTTTGATGGATGGCAATGGTGGTGGGGAGAGACATGGGGTAATGAAACCTATCATATACTGATGTTGTGGAAGTCCAATGAGTCACTATAGATAATCATTAGCTACTATTATGCCAACAGCTATCCCTATGAGAAAAAAATTCCTTAATTTAACATTTATAGAAAACCTCTGTTTGCTCCCTATACTAGGGGCAGCTCCTTTTGGTCCCTTCCTAAAGAAATAGAGCCAGTTTGAGAAACAGGAAAATCAAGTTCCATACTTTCCTAGCCTATGAAATACCAGTCAAGAGGTAAAAGTGCTTCCTCTGTCAATATCCTGATTCTTCCACTGAAATGTCACTTAGCAGAGCACATCTTTTACTTGTGCGATTTGAAAACAAGGCTTTGCCTAAAGACCAGGGTATGCAAGGGATCACCTCTGGGACGATCTCATGGCACTGAGCACTCAAGCAAGGTGGTAACATAAGAGTCAGACTTGATAAAAGTCCATTTCCCAGGACCACTTGACAATAAGGGCACAGAAAAGTGCTCTGAGGAATAATCTTCATGCTATTACCATTTTCAACCTCTTGTACTTAATACTAATTTTCTTAGCTTCCTATAATTAGATATGTACATATGAGCTAGTAGCAGCCACAGTCCTACAATCTGACTAGTTCATGCCCAACTGCATGCCTGCATCAGGGACATCTGGCTATTGTAGTGTCATGGAAACTCTCCTCTCTGGTGAAGAGTATCTAGAGACACCCATGAGTTTTATTATCTATACCCTGTACTGGTTTGAACAGTGTCCCCCAAACTCATGTCCACCCAGAACCTCAGAATGTAATCTTATTTGGAAATAGGGTCTTTGAAAATATAATCAAGTTAAGATGAGGTCATACTGAATTAAGGGTGGACCCTTAATTCAATGACTAGTTTCCTTGTAAGAGGGACACTTGGATGCAAAGAGACCCACCCATAGAGAATGTGATGTGATGATGGAGGGAGAGATTGTAGTGACAAGCCTACAAGCCAAAGAATGCCAAAGATTGCCGGCAAATGCCAAAAGCTAGGAGAGAGGCATGAAATAGATGCTCCCTTAGACCCTCCAGGAGGAACCAACCTGGCTGACACTTGGATTTCAGACTTCTGGCCTCCAGAATTTTGACCAAATAAATTTCTGTTGTTTTAAACCACCCAGTTTTTGGTAGCTTGTTAAAGCAGCCCTAGGAAATAAATGCATACCACCACCACTCCATCTATTTTCCTTCTATGTGCCCAACATTTATCTTCTCAGAGGATGATTATAAACCCTAGTTATTGTATCAACACACGGGAAGGGACACTGAGCAGAACAGCAGGAGAATGAACAATTAGTATCAGATTAGCAACTTCACAGGTAAGGTAAAGGGCATGGGAATTTACTTCTCAAGGCTCTATAATATGAGACTCTTTAAAAACCCTGTGGTGTTTTTATATACATCTACAAGTTCTGTGATATGCTTCCTTTGAAAAAGGCAGAGCCTAATTCCCCTCCCTTTGAGTGTGGTCAGTGCTCGATGACTTGCTTTTAACAAACAGAAGTGACAGATGTGACTTCTGAAATTAGGCCATTAAAAACAATGTAGCTTTCTCCCTGCTCTCGCTCTCAAATCACTTGCTCTGGGGGATGCTAGCAGCCATGCCATGAAGACACTCTAAAAGGAGACTTATGTGACAGGAAACACACCTTCTGCCTCAGGCACACCCAGCACACCCTGCCAGGCACATGAGTGAGCTACCTTGGAAGAGGATCCTCCAGCCCTGCTCACACTTTCAGAACTGCAGCCCCAGCTGATATCGACTGGAACCACATTAGACTCTGAGCCAGAGCCACTCAGCTATGCCATTTCCAGATTCCTAACCACGCAAACTGTGAGACAATACAAGTTTATTGTTTTCAACCATTAATCTTTGGAGAAAAACAGGGCAATAGATAATTAACATAAGAACCTTTAACATAGTCTTCAAGTCCTAGTAAGTACTCTTCCTGCCTACAAGACACCCGCTATGTGATTTCTTCCTGCCTCTAACATACCTCTGAAACAAGTGCAATTCCAAATCCCTTAACCCAAGCTAGAGCATAGAATTCACAGGACCGCTGCCTTTGTCCTCCTCCAGCTCAGAGACTGATGTCTATATCATGAATGCGCTAAGAAAGGGAGAATCACGAGTGGAATCCAGTATCAGTAGCTGGGAGCAAAAGACACTTGCGGTAAGGGTCCTCGGGTTTTTCACTGCAAGACTTTTACCTGTCAAAAAAATTAAAATGGAAAAGAAAATTTAATCATTTGAAACAAACATTCATTGAGTACCTTCAATGGCAAGCATAGTACCAGACAGCAGGCATAAAAATGGTCCCTGCTTAGAAATTCACAGGAATGACAAATAGGTTTTGTAACAGAAGCTACTGCTGTACCATTTATATTCCCTTAGACCAAGATCTGGCTACAGAATTTGTGAATCCCTGTGCAAAACAAAAACGTGGGGTCCCTTGTTCAAGAATTTCAAGAGGACAGCAGCAGACCAGTAAACCAACTCCATAGGTATATGTCCATGAAGCTAGCCCTGCCTCAGGCATTCACCTCTGTGTGAAGGCTACTAACTGCTCTTTCAGTAAGCTTTTTTCTGGCTGATTTGGATGCTTAATTTGCACCAAGGGAAAGCTTAATATCCCTGAAAGCAGCACTCAACCAACGGCAAAATGGCAGTTGGTAGATAAATGCTCCAGCTTCTTCCCCCCTTGGGTGGTATAACTGAGAACTATTCTAGTGTTGAGTTTTCCAGTGGGATTGAGATGCAAGTGTCCACAGTGTAATTGGGAGATTCCTTAAGATTACCTCTAAAATAAACTACTTATACTCACATTCTTATCTCACAGTCTGCTTCTTGGTAAACCCAAACCATGACATCTTTCATCTTTCAAGCCAACTCTAACTTGGAATACAGTAAAATGAAAAAAATCTAAAGCTGCATCTCATTCAACAGGAATGAATGTAATATAGTAACGCTGGCCCTCACCATGGCAAGGAAAGTGGTGGCTCTTTAAATCTGAATGGTGAAAGACCTTGTGTTTGGACTTTGAGACAAAAAGCTGTTAATGAAGGCTGTTAAGCAGCAGTTACAGGGTCTTATTTTAGAGCTACTTCTTTCCGTAATGTACAAGTGGATCAAAGTGTGGCAAGGCTGAAGGTAGGAAAACCAATTAGGAAATGAGAAACTCGCAACTGGTAAATAGGACAGGATATCTACCTGGATGACTACCCACATCATTGACCAAAATGGAGAAAGCACACTAAGTTGTCAAGAATAAATCAATCTGTGTCACATAAGTGGCCACAAGTACTGGGATCACCTACCCATTGAGCCCCTGAATTTAACTAGCAAGGAGTGGGAAATGAAGAAGGCCAAGGGGCCGATGATGAGCACTGGGAACTGATGGCTCTTTTTGATACTAAGACCAAATTAGGAACACGAAGCACTAACAATGCTGCCGCATCCACCACTGATTTTCACCACGGAGTGCTTAGCAAAATCAAAACAAGAACTTGTATCCTAAAGATGATATCACATGGGCCTACTGAACACTAATCTTACGACTTTTTAGGAATTTAGAGATGATCACTCCATGAGACACTGAAATGGTGTCTAGCTTGGCAAGGTAGAAGTCTGTTTCTCTGACATGTGATGGCCTTGTTGTAGGTAGTCTTGGACTAAAATGCTGTCAGCAACATAGACTTCCTCAGTGTTCCTGCTCTGGAACTCCCAAGGCAGTGGTTCCCAAAGTCTGCTGCACACTGGAATCACTTGATTTTTTTAAACAATGATGTCTGGCTTCCACCCTGAGACATTCTCATTTGATTGGTACACATGGTGTGACCTGGGAACCGGGATTTTTAAAAGTTCCCCAGCTAATTCTAATGTGCAGCAAAGTTTGGAGGTGACTACCCTAAGGAACTGGGCCCACCACAGGGTCTGACAGGGCTTACCGCCATACCTGTACTGCACTCCAAACAGTGGGACAAAGCAAGGGGCATGAACCAGAAGCTGCACACACCATCTCTGCTCACCCTTACTGGCCAGTCACATGGCCATACCTGGTTGCATAAGATGCTGAAAAATGTAACTTGTATTCAGCCAGCCATGTGCCCAGCTAAAATTTTTTATTCAGGAAGAAGAGGAAGACAGGTACTGGAAGATAACCAGCAATCTCTCCCACCCCCACGCTTGTCTTTTTCAAACAGAAGCAGCCCAATCTGGCAAAAGTACCGATCCTTAGATCTGGAGACAAAACTCAACAACGGGCTTCTCTGACTTTTGTCAGACATCTTGCACATCACATGTAGATAGAGCCAGAGACTGTAACGCATCATTGTCAGCGGGAAGAAGATACAAGCTTGGAGATATGCATCAGAATGACTACCCATGCAAATTCTTGAATTTTCACCTGAGGGAGGTGTTGGAGGAATAAATTGTTCTACGGGACAAAATCAGGTGCAATATCAAAATTCCATGTACCCACTCTAGTTGACTGAATACAGTGAAGCATTTCCAGTACAACAATATAGGAAAACTTCAAATAAAGGGGTATTCTCTAAATTCCACTAAATACATCATCTTTGGCCTGAAACTATCTTGTTAAGCTACTTGTTGAGACTCTTCACTCTAGATATGCTTGGTGCTGCCTTTGCATTCAAGTCCTGTTTTCCAGACGAAATACAGACATAATCCAATTGTAATTTCATCACCATGCATCTTGGATGCTGCAGTTAGCCTAAATGAAATAAAATATACTAATCATGAGTGACAGTGATTTTTTTAATCGTAAAACGTATTATCAAGCTATTTATAAGTAAATTTCACATTACAAATAAGGCATTAACTAAACCACTGCTTTACAGAAAATCACTTAATGACACTCTAGTATTATATACTGTTTACAGATTAAAAACTTAAGTTTAAAAAGGTAATTTGTTTGAAGTCACATAGCTAGTAAACTACTAGTTATAACTTAATTAAGAGTACATTGAATTAAGTTATAACTAGTAAAGGACTAAACTTCTAGACTTGAACTTCTGATGGTCTGACTTCAAAAATATCTTATTTTTAAAATCATAGCACGGAGCACCTTGTATATCATGATATAGCTATATTACTTTGCAGGGTTTTTATGTCTAAGTTATTTTCTCCTCCTGTTCCACTTCCACCCTCCCATTCACTCTCTTCTCTCCTAGTAGACAAAGTCCTTACCTGTCTGCCAGTCCCCAACCCCATGCATGCAATTACCTCATGGAAGGACGGAAGGGGGGCAGGGAAGAGGGGACCTCCTAGCCCACCACCTTCCAACACACCTCTGCAGAGCCCAGGCCCTTTCAGGCACCCCAGTCACAGCCACACCAAGCTTCTAGCTACTGCTCAGCACACACTTACCACCTGGTTTCCCTGTGCTTCTCATTTGTAATTTTGGATTTTAGTCTAGTTCAGACATTCCTTCAATTCACATTAAGCATCCATTTCCTCTCTGATATTCTTGTCTCTGGTCCCTTTTTTGTCTTATCCATTTGGACATCTATTCCTAAGCAAAACATTCTAAATTCTATTTTCATTATCTTACTCCTTAGCCCAGATCACCAGAAGCTCCCAACTATCAACACAAATTGGAAAATCTCTGGTGTGATTATGAGGAGACCATTCAGTATTTTCTTTGACACTATTAAACAACATTGAGTTTGCCTAATGTCAGTACTAAAGGCCAGGTTGTAAAATAGTAAAACCTGCAGTGGTCTCTAAGGCAACTAGCTGTTTATTATAGTAGTTGGGGAAAGGAAGATATAAAAAATCTTCTAAGGAACTTTATTATAGATCTGTTTACTTAGGTAAAGCATATACAGGAAGATGCGGGAATCATAATAAATGCTTATGAAGCAAAACTAAATGCACCTGTACTGCTACATCCAGATTCACATACAAACGACAAAGAGCTTATATCCAGACTGCATGTGTCTGTTTTTGCACTGCTATAAAGAAATACCTGAGACTGGGTAGTTCAGTTTATAAAGAAAAGAGGTTTAATTGGCTCACGGTTCTGCAGCCCGTACAGGAAGCACAGTGGCTTCTGCTTCTGAGGAGGCCTCAGGAAATTTACAATCATGGCCGAAGGTGAACAGAAAGCAGGCACATCTTAAATGACAGGAGTAGGAGCAAGAGAGAGAGTGGGGAGGTGCTATACATTTAAACAACCAGATCTCACAAGAACTCACTACCATAAGAACAGCATCCAGGGGGAAATCCACCCCCAGGACTCAATCACCTCCCACCAGGCCCCACTTCCAACATTGGGGATTTTCATTCGACATGAGATTTGGGAAGGGACACAAATCCATATCACAGACTGTATAAAGAACCCCTCCAGTCCAGGCGTAGTGGCTCATGCCTGTAATCCCAGGGCTCTGGGAGGCCAAGGTGGGAAGAGTGCTTGAGGCCAGGAGTTTGAGACCGGCCTGGGCAACACAGTAAGACTCTGTCTCTACAACAGAAAAAAAAAAAAAAAAAAGGAATTCCTCCAGGTACGGGGGATGCTGAATATAGAGTCAAGGGTGATTATTCCCCAGCTTTGAGATTTAATGTCTGCCCTCTTAGGCTTTGGACTTGCTTGGGGCTTATTAACCCTTTCTTTTGGCCTACTTTTCCCTTTTCAAATGGGAATGTCTATCCTATGCCCGTCCTGCCGTTGTACCTTAGAAGTAGATAACTTGTTTTGATTTCACAGATGGAATTTTGGACTTCTGAGTTGATGCTGAAACAAGTTAGGACCTTGGGGATATGGGGATTAAGTATAGTTGTATGTGAGAAGAACATGGGTTTGGGGGACCACAGGCAGAATGCAATGGTTTGAATGTTTGTCCCCTCCAAAACTCATGTTGAAACTTAACCTTCAATGTGGCAGTATTGACAGGTGGGGCCTTTAAGAGATGTTCATGGATTAATGGGTTATCATGGGAGTTAGACTAGTGGCTTTATAAGAGGAAAAGAGGCTTCAGCTAGCATGCTCTGCTCCTTTGCCATGTGATGCCCCATACCACCTCAGGATTCTGCAGAGTTCCCATGAGTAAGGAGGCTCTGACCAGATGCATCCCCTTGACCTTGGACTTCCCAGCCTCTGGAACTGTCAGAAATGAATGTTATTTTTTTTCTAAAAAATAAACAAAAAACTCCTTCATAAGAAAAAGATTGATGACTCAATGGAAAAATGTGAGCAGAACAGATGTTTCAGAATAGAGAATACCAAATGGCCTATAAACATAGGACAATATATACTATCTGATTTGTAATCATGGAAAATACTCAGTAAAAATGGCCAAAATTCAAAAGTCTGAAAATACCAAGTACTGAGAGAATGTGAAGCAATAGGGACTCTGCACTGCTTGGTGGAGCTGCTGTGAGCTGATACTAGGGAGAATGAATGGATCTGGGAACAGAGATTAACATGTAAATAGTTCTCTTTGACACTGAAAGGGTCTGTTCAGGTGCGAGTACACTCTGGGTCTAACAAGGGAGGGCAAGAAAAAACAACAGTTCTCTTTGGTGGGTGTAGATCTTAGGCAGATAAAGAAACTTCAACTTATTTGAGAGAGGAGGTAGGGGATGGGGAGGTCACAGAGAACTCTGGGTTTCTTCAGTTTACTATGCCACAGCACCATATTTTCGGGTATGAGTTCTGAGCCCCACAATGGCCATAAGCACTTAACCACAGACCTAGTGACTATGTATAAAATATACACTAGATTCCAAAGACTTAGTATACAAAAGAACATAAAATATCTTATTTGTAATTGTTTAAAACTGATTACATGTTAAAATGATAATATTTTAAATATAATGGGTTAGGTTGGTAAAATAAAATATATTATTAAAGTTAATTTTAACTGTTTCTCTTTACCTTTTTTAATGCAGCTATAATTAGAAAACCACAAATCATATAAGCGGCTTGCATTATATTTCCTTTTTTGAGACAGAGTCTTGATGTCACCCAGTTTGGAGTACAGTCGCGCGATCTGGGCTTACTGCAACCTCTGCCTCCCGGGTTCAAGCGATTCTCCTGCCTCAGCCTCCCAAGTAGCTGGAATGAATTACAGGCATGAGCCACCAGGCCTGGCTAATTTTTTTGTATTTTTAGTAGAGATGAGGTTTTGCCATGTTGGCTAGGCTGGTCTCAAACCCCTGACCTCAAGTGATTAACCTGCCTTGGCCTCCCAAAGTACTGGCATTACAGACCTGAGCCACCGCACCTGGCTCGCTTCCATTATATTTCTATTGGACAGCACTGCTCTGGAGAAAAATTAAGATTCTCCTTTTACAGGATATTTTTAAAAAATATTTAAATGTAAGGAATAAAAAATATTGTAAGAAACCGAAGAAAGCAAATTAGAATCTGGAGGTCAGGATGGATTTCTTAATGAGGACAGGTAGGGGTGTGTGTGTGTGTGTGCGTTTGCATGCATGGACACACGGATAGGGCAAGCACACATACATGTGTGCATATGTATGAGACTGATAAACAATCCAATAGGAAAAATGGGCAAAGGATAGAATTGAAAATGCACAGAAAATCTGAATGGCAAACAGTAACATAATCAAAATTACTAAAGGAAGAGAAAATTAAAAGTAACTAAGACTTCTCTTTATTGGCTGGGAAAAAAATAAAAACATAAATAATATGTATCTTTGCTGGGCAAGTGGGAAGGGAGCAGGATCATACATTGTTGTAAGGAAATGTAAAGGTTAACAGCCTACTGAGAAAGCAATATGGCAACATCCATCAAATTAGAAACATGCCATATCCTTCGACCCAGAAACCTTTCTCACAAAAATCTACCAGCACATGACATGTGTTCAGAAAGTTATTATTGTAATACTGTGTAGCAGAAAAAAAGAGGAAACTAAGTATCAATAGGAAATGAAGTAAATGCCTATCTACTGACAAAAGGTTAAAAACATTACCTGCAAAACAAGACCTGTTATGGAATTATTAAGGATTATAAATAAAAATATCAGCAAATTTTTAAAAATATGAAAATATCAGGAATGGCACCACTGTAGGAAAACAGACTACAGTAGTTCCCTCTTATTCTTGGGAGATATGTTCCAAGATCCCCGGTGGATGTCTGAAACCACTGATAGTACTGAACCCGATTGCTGTTAATAGGAAGTTTTTTTTGGTGATGTTTCCCACCCACAATTTTAATGACTTTTCTATCTTAACCAAGTGCTTAACATGCACTGTGGCTGCAACTTTTCCATTTTGAAGTGTGACAGTAAAACTAGCAAAAATTTCTTTTTCCTCCTTTATAATTTCAGGGATAGAAGATTTGTTCTGACCATGGATCTTAGCAAACTCAGCATTTAAAAAATTTCCTTAAGTCAAGAACTTTTACCTTTTCACTTAAAAGAAGCACTTTATGGCTTCTCTTTTGTATATCCAAGTTGCCATCATTAGTACTCCTGCACTTTGGGGCCACTGTCATGTAAAATAAGGGTTCCATGAATATAAGCACTGTGATACTTAGGCAGTAAAATTGATAAGAAGGCTATTAAGTGACTAATAGGCAGGCTGCATATACACTGTGGATACTGGGCAAAGGGATGATGCAAATCCTGGGGAGGGATGGAGTGGTATGGCATGAGATTTCATCATGTTCATCAGAATGGTGCAGCGCCCAATTTAAAACAGGAATTGTTTAGGTGCCAATTTAAAACTTAGGAATTATTTCTGATATTTTCCACTTAAAATATTCAGACTGTGGTTGCCAAGAGTAATGAAACCTTGAGAAATGAAACCGAGGATAAGGGGAGGACTACTGTATTTCATGATATGCTGGTGTGGATAAAAATAGGTGCAACCTTACTGAAGTTGACCATGAGGTTGATCACCTGTTGACCACTGAATAGGCCCCACAGACAAAAGCTCCTGATCTGAGGAATTTCGAAGGGAACAAAGACCACCTGGTGACCACCAAACGGGCCAGACAGAGGCGAAACTCCTTTTCTGGGAATTCAGAAGTAATTAAACTTTCCTAGTATCTAAAGTCTGGTTCCAGGCCTCTTTCAACTTTTACAAGTAACTAAAATTTATATACATCTCTGAAATGCCATGCCGAAACTCTTTTTACTATCCTAAGCTCCTGCCTTAAGGTCCATAAATACCTCTAAAGAAAAATCCATGGCAGCACACTTAGTCCTCTTGCTGAGGCGCCCCACTGCACTCTTCTGCAGTGTTCTGTTACCGCCTAAGGGGTTCACCTTGCCCATGCCTAGACAGAGTCAATTCATCGAGACAGGGGAATTGTGATAGAGAAAGAGTACTTCACGCAGAACCAGCTGTGTGGGAGATCAGTCTCCCCGAGCACGGGGGAGCAGAGTTTTAAAAGATAACTTCGTGGGTGGGGGGAAGCCAGTGAGCCAGAAGTGCTGATTGGTCAGGGATGAAACTGTAGGGAATCAAAACCGTCTTCCTGCACTGAGTCAGTTCCTGGGTGGGGGCCACATAATCAGATGAGCCACTTTGGGCAGCCAAAGTGAGTGGATCACCGGAGGTCGGGAATTGGAAACCAGCCTGGCCAACATTGTGAAACCCTGTCTCTACTAAAAAACAAAAAAAAAAAAACAAACAGAAAAAGCCAGGCGTGATGGCAGGTGCCTGTAATCCCAGCTACTCGAGAGGCTGAGACAGGAGAATCACTTGAATCCGGGAGGCGGAGGTTGCAGTGAGCCGAGATCGTGCCATTTGCACTCCAGCCTGGGCGACAAGAGCAAGACTCCGTCTCCAAAAAAAAAAAAAAAAAAAAAAAGAGCCAGTTTATTGATGTGGGTAGTGCCAGCTGACCCATCAAGTACGGGGTCTGCAAAATACCTCAAGCACTGATCACAGGAGCAGTTTAGGGAGGGTCAGAATCTTGCAGCCTCCAGCTGCATGACTACTAAACCAAAAATTCTAATCCTGTGGCTAATGTTAGTCTAGTCCTCAGACAAGAAGGAAGTCTGCTTTGGGAAAGGGCTGTTACCCTCTTTGTTTATAAACTAAGTTTCTCCCAAAGTTAGTTCAGCCTACGCCCAGGAATGAACAAGAACAGCTTGGAGCTTAGAAGCAAGATGGAGTCGGTTACGTTAGATTTCTTTCACTGTCTCAGTCATCATTTTGCAAAGGCTGTTTCAGTTCTTCCTTTCTAATAAACTTTCCTTTTTTCAAACCTATACTGTTTGTAGGTATGGTAAATTCATTTTACCAACCTGCGAGTTGACCACTTCCCGGTGCCAGGGCTCTGACACCTTGCCAGGCACTTACGGAAAGATAATTGTAAAAATCTAATAGAATTTTAAATTTCCATGCCTTCGAACCCAGCAGCCAAACTTCCAGAAATTTATCCTACTAATATAATGGCACGACGATCTAAAGAGATATGTACAAGGATGTTCTCGACAGCCTTTATTTAATAAGATGTGGAAAGAACCTTAAATGTCTACTCAAAATTGTTGAATAAATCACATGTCTACAAAATGAATAATGCAGACTTTAAAAAGAGTGAGGTAGCTCTATGTCACCAAACTGGAACAATAAAAGCCACTATAAAGTATAAAAAGCAAGCTGAAGACTGTCTCTATGTTTGAAATTTTTCATAATAAAAAATGAAAAAAATGGAGGGGGATTAGATATATTGCCTTTTCATGAGTAAGAATCTCACAAGTCTTGGACAATTAAACCCCGCCTTCATCCCTCCCATCTCATCATATCTGACCTCAACCAGTTTCCTACCTACACTGCTTATATGCCCATTTGCTCTATATGACTCAGTCATTTCAAGATTGCTTCTGTTTTCCCTTATTGATATAAAAATATTAAAAATGTATATTTAAAATTTGTTTAATTACATCCCATTATTACAGTTCATTTTTGCATATTCCTGTGTTGAAAATCCTTTGGTATAAATCAACATCAAAACTCGGTGTTATTCCACTTTTCTTGAACTGTAATCCTTTTTAAACAAGGAATATACCTTTTCTTGTTTAGAGAATATACGTACATTCATAAATCTTGGCAACTTTCAAAGGCCATAACAAATTTGTGTTAAGAATTCAGATCCCCTTTATTATTGTGGTAAACAGACAGATGAAATTAAGAGATTATAGCTTGTTTTCACTCTCTCCCAATTACTATCGCTTGAAAAATACCGGATATTTCATTATTATCCTGTCCGGAGTCGGCAAACTACGGTCTACTATCTGTCTTCGTATACGTCAAAAGCTAAGAATGGTTTTTACATTTTTAAATGACTGGGGAGGGAGGGCCAGAATCCAAGGGGAGTATTTAATGACACTTGAAAATGTTATTAAATTCAAATTTTAGCATCCATAATAAAGTTTCATTGACACACAGCCATGCTCATTTAGCTTTTGTTTGTTTTTGGAGACAGAGTCTCGCTCTGTCGCCCAGGCTGGAGTGCAGTGGCGAGATCTCGGCTCACTGCAACCTCTGCCTCCTGCTTTCAAGCCATTCTCCTGCCTCCGCCTTCCAGGTAGCTGGGATTACAGGTGCGCGCCACACGCGCCACACGCCCGGCTAATTTTTGTCTCTACTAAAAAGTAGAGACAGGGTTTCGCTATGTTGGCCAGGCTGGTCTCAAACTCCTGACCTCAGGTGATCCACCCGCCTCGGCCTCCCAAAGTGATAGGATTACAGGCGTGAGCCACCGCGCCCAGCCTTCATTTAGTACTGTCTAATGATGTTTTCATACTGCAAGGAGAAAGCTGAGTATGGACCACAAGGCCAAAAAGATGTCCTCTCTGGCTCTCTACAGCAAAGATTTGCCAAGCCCTGTTATATGTCATACTACTTGCGCTTCATAATTTTATAGTTTTACCTAGACAGTCTCCCTTTTTTCCTTCCATATTCAGCATAAAATCCCCTTAATATCAGTCTCTAGGCAAGCACATTCTTCACAGTCCTTAGAACTGGACCTCCTCTTGTTAATTTCCTTAGTCTAATCACATTCCTCCTGGTTATCTACAAACAGAAAGCCAGAAAGGAGGGCTATCAACATCTTAAGCGCCACAAATTAACAAATCAAAACCAAATCTCTCTCTCCCTCCGAAGCCACGGCTAAGGAGGCTCACTGCCCAGTTAGTGGCTTTCAAACTACCCTTACAAGTGAGACATCTTGTGAATTAGAACAAGTGCTGCTGCTAAAATCCCTAACGGCTACATAGCAATGTGAAAAAAGGTATCAAATGTAATTTTCTCAAATTTAATCTTCTTCAATTCTTGGCACAAAAAAAGGAACAGTAAAGGTAGACAACTGTAATTAGCATGTGTGATCCCAAATCTTTATACCTTAGATACTGGATTATATTTTCAGCAAGTAAATAGTTTCTGGCTCCCAAGATGAGAGGTTAAATAATGCAGGGTGTTTGTAAACAGCAGCACAATTTACACCGGAAATTAGGGCCCTTTCTCACCGAGGAGAGTACAGCAAAATCTGCTCATCTCTTTCAATGAATATTCTCCATGACTAGTGCTGGCGGCGGGGAGGCGGAGCAAGCTATCTTTTCTACCAGCCGTGTCACACCCCTCCTAGCACTAACCCCTCCTCCTCAGCCTTTTCACACCTCTACCCACTACTAGCCCCTCCCCAGCCCCATCACCTCTTCCCGGGCCCCTCACACCTCTCCCAGCATACTCTTCCCCAGCCTCATCACCTCACCCACTTCCTCCAAAATCACTGACCTGCTAAGCTTCCAGCAGCAGGCGGGCAAAGCAGGGAGGCTGTAATGCAAAAGTCCGCAGTCCCTACACAAACACTATCTGCTCCTGCGGAGAAACTCAAGTCACAGCCCCAGAAGTGGAAAGAACAGGCCTTGGCTCTCACCCAGTTAACAAGCGTTTATCCAGCGCACGTGTTGCGGTCGGACCCCATGCGAAGGAGCTAAGGACACAAAGGTGAGCAGCAGAGACGCGGTTCCAGCTCTCCCCCGGCTCCCACTCCAGCGGGATAGGTAGATAATTTCGGTAAATTTCGCCAAGCAGGGGCAGGACAAAGAGTATTTGAAGTCTACCGCGGGGAGAACTTACCTAATCCTTGAATGTTAAAAGGCTAAAAACTCCACTAGTCGGAAGTGACGTGCCAGCTTAGCCCCGCAGGTCCGCCACGTAATTGGCCGCCGCCACAGCTAGCCACCCTCTCCCCAGACTGGCCCGAAGAGAGGAAAAGTGTGGAAGTCCACAAGCCGCCCCCGCCCCGCCCTCTTCGTCGACTTTCAGCTGCACCGGGAGGCGGCGGCGCCTGGCCAGAGCCGGGGCCTGGAGCCTGGACTAGACAGCCTCGCCGGCCGGGGCGCCAGTCCAGCGCCCTGCGGGCAATGGGCTTCAGCGCTCGAGCACGCGCATGCGCGGGCCTGTATCTCCAGAGGATTCCTCGGGTCACCTGGACGCCAGCATCTCAGCCACCTGCCCCTCTGGGTCCCTTCTTGCCCTTGATTCCCCCTGCTGCTTCTCATCGCCAGCCCTCCTCCTCCTTCTTCCGCAGGCACCGCTAGACCCGGCCGCGGCCGCCCGCCGACACCCCAGCTTCCACTGACACGAGCCTCGGCGCGGCTTCCGCTTCCGGCGAGTATTGTGTGTCGCGCCGCGGGGCGGGGGCGAGGGGAGGAGGAAGGAGGGAGGCAGCGCTCCGGCGGCTCCGCGCCCCGCACTCCCGGACCCGAAGCCGGGAAGGTAGGTGCTGTCCCGCCGCCGCGCCCGAGCCTGGGGCCTGCGCTCGCCGGCCGGCTCCGCAAGCCGCGTCCCAGCGCCCCGCGACTGCGTCACCGGCCCCCCGCACGTAACCACAGCTGCCTCCGCCCGCCTCGGGCCCGGGCGGACGTTTTGCCGCCCCGGCGACGTCAGCGCGTCCGGCGTTGCTTGGCTACCCCGCCGTTCCCCCGTCCCGCTGCTGCTCACCTCCCCGGGTGAAACTCTGACGCAGTCACCGCGGGTCTCGGCAGCGTCATAGCGGCGGGCATCCCATCTGCACGTCACACCTCTTTCTCACCTGGACACGCATCCCTTCCTACCCTGCCAGCCACGACGTTTCCTCTTTCCCCTCTCCAATGCCCCAGCCCCAGATCTGGCGGAAGAAGATGGAGAACGGGGGTGGGACAGAGTTGTGGACAACCTCTCAGGAGAGGGTCGCAAGGTGGGACCCTGAACAGTGGTAGAAACAAAATGAGATTGTCCCTGAAGTTTGCCCTTCAGCTGAGACACAAGGAGTAGAGGAAGAGGAAGGACTAACGCAGAGGCACTCAAGGTCTCACTATGACTGTAGTTGAGAGTCCTCTCCCTTCTTCCCTAACCCTTTCCCCATTTCTCTCACCACTTCTTTGCCAGTCTAGATCCGTCCTGGTGCCTTACTGTGCATACAGTTCTACTCGTCTCAGGTGAGGAGGCCACTTAATTTGTAAAAGACTGAGGAAGGGGTAGGATCACCACAAGTCAAAGTTGGATTCCCACAGATAGAAATCATCTGACTGAACTTCTCTCCTATTGCTGACAGAAGAAATTCAAATCCAAAGAAGTTATCAGTTCCTACTCCAAATCAAACACATTTGTGTGTGCCAACAATATATACAGGAACAATTGTTGTTAACCTACCTCATTACATGGCCACTTATCTCTCAGCACATAGATCTACCAAATTTCCTTCCTTCCAGTAGGTCCCTGGAGAAGGATGGGGGTCGGGAGGAGAAAAGGTTATGGGGATAGTTAAATCAACTTACCCATGGCTAAAAGTATGGATGTTTTAAGGATGGAGTAGGGGGCCAGCCTTGTGTTTTATAAATCTCTCCTATGCATTTCCAATTCTTCTGAGGCTGCGCTTGAGGGAGATCTCATTGCCTCTTTTGTGTCTCTTAATTCGCAACCACTCCAGGACCTATAAGTTGGAGACACACTATGCCCAGGGTGTTAGTTATCAATAGCTATATTGAAAGATTCCAGTCACTACAAATAGACTCGTTGCTCTCTTTTCAAGAAGTCGTTGGCCTGAGCTCAGCAATATTTAATATGGTTGCCATAATTTATCAGTTTTCAGCAGTTCTGAGTGTCCAGATGAACACAAGAGAAATGGAATGTTGCGTGAAATGTCATTCCAAGAAGAGAGCAGATTTCCTTTAGGCTAGTCTGATGGATAAAAGGAAGAATAATTTCAGATTTTCCTGAAAAGAGGAGGTTGCCTTTGCCTCATTCATTCCATTTGTTAGCCTTTAGAGCAGTGGTATCTAACCCTTTCAATATGAGGACTCTCTTTGCTTATCTGTGGTGGCTGATAAAAATTATGCATGGACCTTCTGTGGTGGTGATAGAACAAAAGTTATGCATGGACTTTTTTTTTTTTAAGCTTATCAGCTGTCATTAGTGTCAATGTATTTTATGTCTGGCCCAAGACACTTCTTCCAGTGGGCCCAGGGAAGCCAAAAGGTTGGATATTGTGATTTAGAAGAATGAGAGAACAGTGTCAGAGAATCAAGCTTAGACTCCAGTGGATTAATCATAAAGCTCTTATAACATTAAACTTTAAAATATGGTTAATTTAAGAAATGTTAATATTTTTATGACATTTTTTACTTCTCAGATTCCTTTCTTGTCTGTTAGAAACGTATGTCAAACGAGGATACAGTGTCTGGAACTATTGGTTCTAAGATATAAGTGGAATGAGCCTGGATCAGGAGAAGTATGCTGAGCTAGAGTTGAAGGAAGCTTCTCTTTCTAACAAGAGAAAGCAGAGGTAAGAGACAAGATAGATCAATTGGGGGTTGTGTGTCAGTTTACTAACAAGAAAAAAAAGGTTGATGGCTGGGAGTCACAAGTTTTGAAAATGGAGAAACAAAGAGGTTGAATTGATTGGAAGAGAAGATGGAGAATAACAAGAAGGGGCAAATCTGGAGTTAGGACTTAACATAGGGATAAATGTCGGGTCAGGGATGCAAAAAAAAAAAAAAGAAAAAACCTCCAATTAATATTTTTATTTTCTCTGTCCTCTTCCCCACTCCCAAGTTAAATTATGGCAGAGACAAGTCTGTTAGAGGCTGGGGCCTCTGCAGCCTCTACAGCTGCGGCTTTGGAGAACTTACAGGTGGAGGCGAGCTGCTCTGTGTGCCTGGAGTATCTGAAGGAACCTGTCATCATTGAGTGTGGGCACAACTTCTGCAAAGCTTGCATCACCCGCTGGTGGGAGGACCTAGAGAGGGACTTCCCTTGTCCTGTCTGTCGAAAGACATCCCGCTACCGCAGTCTCCGACCTAATCGGCAACTAGGCAGTATGGTGGAAATTGCCAAGCAGCTCCAGGCCGTCAAGCGGAAGATCCGGGATGAGAGCCTCTGCCCCCAACACCATGAGGCCCTCAGCCTTTTCTGTTATGAGGACCAGGAGGCTGTATGCTTGATATGTGCAATTTCCCACACCCACCGGGCCCACACCGTTGTGCCACTGGACGATGCTACACAGGAGTACAAGGTGGGGAAGCAGACACACGATGTCAGTGTGGGTAAAAAGGGAGAAGCGGCAGAGGATGAGATACTCCCTAGGTAGAGATCGTAAGCTCCTACTACTCACTTTGTATTCTCAGAGCTGCATATGCAGGGGCACACAGTATGTGTGATCAGTTGTCCTCTAGCCTGAAAAAGAGCAATGGTGAGAAGTGCCCTAAAATTTCTCTCTGACTTTTGCAATACATGTGAGTCTTATGGGTGAATATTGGTATGTGTGGTCATATTTTTCATAAATGAATGAAACCACATGGAAAAGATTAAACTTAGGAAGAACTGAAAAGTAGTCTGGTTTCTTCATTCTGCCTGCCTGCTCAGAATGCTCCTTGTTTTCACACTGGTTATTGGGCATAGGTAATATCGCTTGAGACTGATACCTACCGGACTAAGCTGAACCATTCAATTGTTTGCAGCTTCTCTAGGTAATGGGTAACATGGCATATCATTTAACTTACTGCTGAGACAAAGGAAAATGTTTGAATAAAGGGAACAGAGATATGAATGTGTTAGCATTTTATCATATACTTTGCTTAGTTATGTTACTCTTGAAAACAAGATTTCAGGTAACTTACAGTATAATAACCATGTTTTTATTGTAGGTGGACAGAGGTGGATGGGAGGACAGGTTTAAAGAGAGATATTAGGGTACAGAAGGTTGCTTGGATGGTAATAGGCAGTTGCCTCAGTAAGAAAATGGAAAGAGTTGAGAAAGGACACAGAGTTGATGACAGCTATCTCAGATTCAGTAAAAGGACAGTTGGGTGAGCAGAGAAGGTGATGTGGACAGGCTAGTGGCAGGAGGAGGGACTGTAGAAAGTTGACATCCCAAATGACAGGCAAGGAAGGAAGTCAGATCAAGAGGCAGTAAGATGGCTAGGAAGCAAATAAATGGTTTAAAACAAATGGTTTAATCTCTGAATGGTAGGTATACCAGTCAACCCCAAATGTCACCTCTCCCACTTCCTCCCTACCCCTCAGGAAAAACTGCAGAAGTGTCTGGAGCCCCTGGAACAGAAGCTGCAGGAGATCACTCGCTGCAAGTCCTCTGAGGAGAAGAAGCCTGGTGAGCTCAAGGTAAAGGCAGGCAATCCCATGTAGGCTGCTCTGAAGGGTATTTGCCTATGAGGGAATTAACTGTACACTATTTAATCCACCAGTTCCGGTTCATTAGAAAAATGCAGTTCTCGCCGGACATGGTGGCTCACACCTGTAATCCCAGCAATTCTGGAGGCCAAGGTGGGCAGATTGCTTGAGCTCAGGAGTTTGAGACCACCCTGGGCAACATGGTGAAACCCTGTCTTTACTAAAAACAAAAAATTAGCCGGGCATGGTGGCACATGCCTGTAGTCCCAGCGACTTGGGCGGCTGAGGCAGGAGAATTGCTTGAACCTGGGAGGCGGAGGTTGCAGTGAGCCAAGATCACACCATTGTACTCCAGCCTGGGCAACAGAGCAAGGCTCTGTCTCAAACAAACAAAAAAAACAAAAAAAAAAAAAGAAAGAACAATGTAGTTCTCTCAAAAATGATGGCATTTTATTAGGCTTGATTGTCATTAAACATTGTACTTAAATTACTTGTCATGAATTAAGTATTAAGAGGGATTTAAGAGATGAAGAACAGACAGAATATCTTACATCTGGTGAGCTGAGAGAGTTCGTGCCTCTTGGTCTCCTTTTTTTGTTAAAGCAGCAAAGGAGGCTTTCTGCTGAGAAGGCAGGGATGGGAGTTTCTTAGAGGACTTGAAGAGAGGAGAATATGGAAGATTCACTGGGGAGAAAGGGAAAAGGAGCTGACCAAGAGTCTCAGAAGAACTATCTAATGACATTAGGACCACATTCTTAAAACTCAAGTAAGCTTACATATGCTAGAATGTTCTCCCCCTCCCCATCCTCCACCATAGGATCTTATTCATCTCTCAGGCGGGATGAAAGCCACTTCCTATGCAGCCTTTCCTGACCCTTCAGAAATTAACATTCTTAATTTTCATACAATTTTGCACCTCTTTTATAGCATTGCCTTATTTGTAGCATGGTATTTTGGTGTCTGTCTGTCTTCCATTGAACAGTGAACAATTATCATTTGTAGCAAAAATAACTAGAATTGAGTCCTATGCATTAATTCATTAGGTATCCGTAACATTCCAGATTTATAGGGTTGTTAGGGTCTTAGAGTTCAGGCCAAATTGGGATAAGTGAGACATAGAAAAGCTACGAGAAAGAGACAGAAGGAAATCCTGAGGCCATCTTTAGTAAGATGTAGGGGTAAACCTAGATATTCTTTAAGGTAGGTATTATTACCTTCAGCTTACACAGAAGGAAATGGACCTTGGGTAAGTGACTAGTCCAAGATCATAAAGCCAGTAAGTGGCAAAACCAGGAATACTAGTTCTTCGTGAATCAGTAAATATTTGTTAAGCTCCTGGTTTAGGCCAAACCCGGTATTTGACACTGGGGAACAATGATGAGCAAAAACACAGTTCCTGCCCTCCTTGAGCTTAAAGTTAAGTGGAGAAAATAAGTAATGGCACAAAATGCACAGCTGCAAGTTCATAAGAAGACAACATAGAAATTTGGCCTCATTAAAGGTTTCCCGAAGAAGTAATGAGTTTTTAAGAGTTGACATGTAGAGATCACCAGAAGCTAAATCCAAGTTTTGATTCATAGAAACATGAATTTTTAAATGAATGATAACATTTCATCAGAAAGCAAGTATTATTACCTTAGTGCCTTATACATTTTAGCAAAGTAAGCATTTGAAATTTTAAAATTTGAACCAATTTTGGTTAGAAATGTGAACTTTTAAAGTTTTTTGTTCTTTTAGAGGCCTTCCAAGAAACCTAAAAATATGAAAATGGTGCTTATTGCTAGTCATTAACTTTCTTCTTCATGTTGATCACCTTCTTGAAGGTAAAGGATGGAGAGAGAAATATACCTTTTTAAAACCTTCTAAATGCTTGAACAGAACTGTCCTGTTTTTTAAACTGTAAATTGTCATTTCAGTGGTCTCCAAAACTACCACCAACATTCCTCTTGTGACCATTTGAATTCTCCCTCCTTCTCCCTCATCAGACTCAATGCCCCTTTAAAAAATAATTTGTAATTATGCTGAACTGAAAATTACAGGTAATATAACCTATGTGCATAATGTTAAATTTTAAAGAGTCTATCATGTCCAAATATAATATAATGAAACATAATTGATGATAAAATGTGGTATGTAATATTTGGGCATGACTACCCTGAACGACTTTACAGTGTAGCTGGTTATATGCTTGCCCCTATATGTGTCATTATCAGCAACGCCATAAATACAAATTCAGACTGAGATGGATGTGTGCCAATATGATTGAAATACCATAAGTAGCTTAGCTCTTGGTGATATGATTTTTCATAGTAATAACTTTTGGTAAAGTTCTAAGTATAACAATATAATCTTGGGTTTTATTCAGCTATTGCTGAAAAATTCACGTATAGTAAAACCATGTAAGAATTACTCTGTGTTTATACTATATAAAATGGCATTCAAGCCCAGGCCTATGTTTTTGTTTTTGTGGTTTTTTTTTTTTTTTTTTTTTTGAGACGGCGTCTCGCTCTGTCATCCAGGCTGGAGTGCAGTGGTGCCATCTCGGCTCACTGCAAGCTCTGCCTCCCGGGTTCATGCCATTCTCCTGCCTCAGCCTCCCAAGTACCTGGGACTACAGGCGCCCACCACCACACCCAGCTGATTTTTTTTTTCTATTTTTAGTAGAGACAGGGTTTCACCGTGTTATCCAGGATGGTCTCGATCTCCTGACCTTGTGATCTGCCCACCTCGGCCTCCCAAAGTGCTGGGATTACAGGCGTGAGCCACCGTGCCTGGCCGCCCAGGCCTGTGTTTTTGAATATCCAGCAGAACATTAGAAAATGTTGCAGGTCAGTTCACTATGCCGGATTGTCTCACACATTGGAGGAGTGCTTGCGTCATTGTCAGGAACTTCCCCAACCATGGAAAACAAGAAGATGTGCCTATTTCCAAAATATCCTCAGAGTGTGTTAACAGCTTCATCAAGAACCACTGCCCTAAAATATAGAGTGAAAAAAAGAGAAAAGATTACCGGTTTATAAGAGGAAGGGCCTTTTTGCTTCCTATTTATCACAGTCATGAATGTTAAACTTACACCCATACCTAAACAAACACACATGCATGCACACACATGTGCAAACACACACACACAAAGGCTGTGTTTTATTGAGGGCAAATGTGAGAATATATTTTGTTCAGATGTACACTGAGAAGGCAGTGGTGGAAAGTGAAGCAGCAAGTGGCCCTAAACTAGAAGAGCTAGTCAGCCTCTGCCAGGAACTAGCTTGAATCCACAAATGCCACGCTTGTCAGGCCCATCCTGGCTTTGCATCCCCACTCTCTCTCCACCCTCAAGCCTGCCTTTCATTCCCTATCCACTTCCTTCTAGAGTCCCAGTCTCTGCTTCTCACTTTGCTTCATCATCAGTCACATGATGCTTGGGGAATTCTTTAGGGAGATCACTATTTGTTGTAGTGGAGATGCAGAAGAGAGGATGTGCTGATAATTCTCAGAAAGTGTTATGGCTGGTGTTTGAGTCCTATATTATCAAATTTCAGGAATGTTAGAGGCTTAAGTCTGTGTGCTGGCTTAAAGAAAGCATGTTTCAAATTTCAAGAAACTAAATTACTAACAAACTTCTGTAACCTGTTCCTGGGGTAGGAATTGCCAGTTCTCTGAAGTGACTTGAAACAATTTAACAAGTTCAGCCCTGAAATCTACATATGTATATTTTATAATAACCCATATAACTCTTACTGATTCTTACACTTTCCCAGTTCTCTGGTTTTTATCTGGTGCATGTGTTGCAATATGCAAAGGATGACAATCTTATTTTTAACTTTTTATTATTTGTACTTTCCTTTTTGTTTCGTTGTTTTTTGTTTGCTTGTTTTGAGACAGAATCTCACTCACCCAGGCTGGAGGGCAGTAGTGATCACAGCACACTAACTCAAACTCCAGTGTTCAGGCCATCCATCCTCTTGATTCTTTTTGAGTAGCTAGGACTGCAGATGTGCATTGCCATGCCCGACTAATTTTTTTTTCTTTTTAGTTGAAACAAGGTCTCACTATGTTTCCTAGGTTGGTCTTGGCCTCAAGTGATCCTCTCACCTGGGCCTCCTAAGCACTAAGTTTACAGGCATGAGCCACCATGCTGAGCCTATACTTTCCTTTTCTCGACAGATTGAATTAACTAGAACTTTACAGTTGATAATAACACAGATATCTCTGATATCTGTAATAGTTAATGTCATCATATTATTGAGTTCTTTATCTTAAATTAAAACAAATATATATATCCGCAGTGGTCTTCACTACCAAGTCATCAGTAGGGGGGTGATAGTGATGGAGCCATTCTTTACAGAAGGAAATTCCAATGGAATAAAAAATGAGTGTTCTGTTAAACCATTTTCTCTCATTTTCTTTCTTTCTTTTCTTTCTGTCTTTGTCTTTCTGTCTTTCTTTCCTGTCTGTCTGTCTTTCATCTCGATCTGTTGCCCAAGCTGGAGTGCAATGGTGCAACAATTTCAGCTTACTCCAACCTCTGCCTTCTTTGCTCAAGCCATCATCCCACCTCAGCCTCTCCAGTAGCTGGGACTACAGGCATGCACCACCAGACTCAGCTAATTTTTTGTATTTTTTGTAGAGTTGGGGTTTCACCATGTTACCTAGGCTGGTCTCAAACTTCTCATCCCAAGCAATCCACCTCCCTCGGCCTCCCAAAGTCCTGGGATTACAGTCATGTGTCACCACACCCAGCCTTTGTTAAACCATTTTCAATGAAACTGGAAGTCTGTGTTAATTCATACATATGGTGGGTGAGAGAAAGGCTTCCTTATACCACACTGACCCTGCTGATACAACATCTTCCCTCTCTTCTCAGAGACTAGTGGAAAGTCGCCGACAGCAGATCTTGAGGGAGTTTGAAGAGCTTCATAGGCGGCTGGATGAAGAGCAGCAGGTGTTGCTTTCACGACTGGAAGAAGAGGAACAGGACATTCTGCAGCGACTCCGAGAAAATGCTGCTCACCTTGGGGACAAGCGCCGGGACCTGGCCCACTTGGCTGCCGAGGTGGAGGGCAAGTGCTTACAGTCAGGCTTCGAGATGCTTAAGGTTCGACCTTTGCCCCTGCATAGCCCCTCAGGCTGAGTGCAGCGTAGCTTTGCGTAGCCTGGGATTTGTCAGCCTGGGATACTCATTCTTCTGCTCTCCTTCTCTAAATCCAGTTCTTTCTGCCAGGTGTACTCAAAGGGTCTTTGCTACGGAAAAGTGATTTCTCCCATCCCCTTCTAACCATTTTTGTGTTCTTATCTCTGGTCAGCAATTATGTGCTTAATCTGTTCCAAAGAAAAGATTCATTCTTTTGAAAGGAGGGAAGTCTAGCCTGAGTTAGTGAAAAACTATGCATTAAAAATTTTGTAAATGCAGTTACCATTACTTTTAAGTCCTGAAATTTGATTTATGTACTGCTGAAAAAGGACAGAAACATAGTTTAAAGGATACAGGCATACCTCAGAGATATTGTGGGTTCAGTTCCATACCACTTCAATAAAGCGAGTATCTTGATAAAGCAAGTCACATTAATTGTTGGGTTTCCTAGTGGAATCATATTTTTGCTGGTGGAGGGTCTTGTGTTAGTATTGACTGATCGAGGTGGTGGTTGCTGAAGATTGGGGTGACTGTGGTAATTTCTTAAAATAAGACAACGACGAAGTTTACTTTCAACTCTTCCTTTTATGAAAGATATCTCTGAGCATGTGATGCTGTTTAATAGCATTTTACTCACCAGTAGAACTTCTTTGAAAATCTTTGAAAACCCACATTTGCAGTTACTTACAACATGGGAGTCTTGAACCCCTAAAAGTCATCCATAAGGGTTGGAATAGACTTCTTCTAAATGCCTGTTAATATTGATATTTTGGCTTCCTTTCACAAATCACAAATGTTCTTAATGGCATCTAGAATGGTGAATCCTTACCAGAAAGCCTTCAATTTACTTTGCCTAGATCTATCAGAAAAATCACTATTTATAGCAGCTTTATGAAATACATTTATTAAGACTTGAAAGTCCAAATTACTTCTTGATCCATGGGCTGCCGATTGGATGTTGTGTTAGCGGACGTGAAAACAACATGAATCTCATTTTACATCTCTATCAGAACTTTTGGGTGATCAAGTGCATTGTCAGTGAGCAGTAATATTTTGAAAGGAATCTTTTTTTCTGAGCAGTAGGTCTCAACTTAAAATTTTCAGTAAAGGGTTGGGCACGGTGGCTTACACCTGTAATCCTATCACTTTGGGAGGCCAAGGCAGGTGGATCACCTGAGGTCAGGAGTTTGAGACCAGCCTGGCCAACATGGTGAAGCCCAATCTCTACTAAAAATACAAAAAAATTAGCTGGGCATGGTGGTGGGCGCCTGTAATCCCAGCTACTCGGGAGGCTGAGGGAGGAGAATCGCTTGAACCCGAGAGGCAGAGGTTGCAGTGAGCCAAGATCATGCAGTTGCACTCCTGCCTGGGTGACAAGAGTGAAACTCCATCCCCCCAAAAAAAACTTCAGTAAAGGCTAGGCACGTTGGCTCACATCTGTAATCCCAGCACTCTGAGAGATCAAGCCAGGAGGACTGCTTAAGGCCAGGAATTCAAGACCAGTCTGGGCAATATAGCAGGACCCCATCTCTACAAAAGGTAATTTTTTTTAATTAAAAACATTCAGTATACCATGCTGTATACAGGTGTACTGTCATGTAGGCTTTGTTATTCCATTTCTAGAGCACAAGGAAAGTAGATTTAGCATAATTCTTAAGAGCCCTAGGATTTTTGAAATGGTAAGTGAGCACTGGTTTCAACTTAAAGTCACCAGCTGCCCTTGCTTCTAATAAGAAAGTCATCCTGTCCTTTGAAGCTTTAAAGCCAGGCATTGACTTCTCTCGAACTGTGAAAGCCCTGGATAGCACCTTCTTCAATAGAAGGCTGTTTGTTGACATTGAAAATGTGTTGTTTAGTGTAGCCACCTTCATCAGTAATCTTGGCAAGATCTTCTGGATAACTTGCTGCAACTTCTGCATCAGCACTTGCTGCTTCTCCTTGCACATTTTTGTTACAGAGATGGCTTCTTTTCTTAAAACAACCTACCTAACTTTAAACTTTTCTTCTGCAGCTTCCTTACCTCTCTCAGCTTTCATAGAACTGAAGGAGTTAACAGCCTTGCTCTGGATTGGGCTTTGGCTTAAGGGAATCATGTGATCTTATATCCAGATCACTAAAATTTTCTCCATCTCAGCAATAAAGCTGTTTCACTTTCTTATCATTCGTGTGTTCACTGGAGTAGCACTTTTAATTTTCTTCAATAACTTTTCCTTAGCATTCACAGCCTGGCTTGGTGTTTGGCACAAGAGGCCTAGCTTTCAGCCCATCTTGGCTTTCAATGTGCCTTTCTCACTAAGCTTAAACATTTTTAGGTTTTGATTTAAAGTGAGAGACATGTGATTCTTCTTTCACATGAACACTTAGAGGCCATTGCAGGATTATTAATTGATATAATTTTAATATCGTTGTGTCTCGGAATAGGGAGGCCAGAGGAGATGGAGAAAGATGAGGGAATAGCTGGTAGTGGATCAGTTAGAACACATAAAATATATTTATCGATTAAGTTGTTCGTCTTATATGGATGCAGTTCACAGTGCCCCCATAACGATTACAATAGTAACATCAAAGATCACTGATCACAGATCATACTAGATATAATAATGAAAAAGTGTGAAATATTGTGAGAATTACCAAAATGTGACACAGAGACATGAAGTGAACACATGCTGTTGGAAAACATGGTGCCAGTAGACTTGCTCAACACAGGTTGCCACAAACCATCTATCTGAAAAACATACAATGTCAACAAAACACAATAAAGCGAAGTGCAATAAAATGAGGTATGCCTGAAATTGTTTAAATAATATATTGCTTTTGATATGTATATATTAATAATACCTCTAAAGTGTTTGAAATATTTTGTTCTCTTACGTAAATGAATGGTGTTAGCAAAACTAGGGAACATATTTTTTATCTTAGAGATTAGATTACCAGCATTTGAAGCAGTGAGGCTTCATTGTACATTTATTTTTATGTTACGTATTGCTTGGTATTTGTTCCTATGGCCTTTCATGTATGTGTGTTCTGCCTTCCATATTAAACTGGGAAATCCTTGTGGGACAGAGATTTGTCTTCTTTGTCTTCTGGACCCCAAGTATTCACAAATCAGTATTAGCACACAGTTATTAATGTGTTTATTCTTCCTTTTTTTTTTTTCTGAGAGAGTCTTGCTCTGTCGCCCAGGCTGGAGTGCAGTGCATGATCTCGGCTCACTGCAACCTTTGCCTCCTGTGTTCAAGCGATTCTCCTGCCTCAGCCTCCTGAGTAGCTGGGGTTACAGGCGCACACCACCACACCTGGCTAATTTTTGTATTTTTAGTAAAGACAGGGTTTCACCATGTTGGCTAGGCTGGTCTTGAACTCCTGACCTCAAGTGATCCACCCGTCTTGGCCTCCCAAAGCGCTCAGATTACAGGCGTGAGCTACTGTGCCCAGCCAGTTATTGATGTTTATTAACTAATGCAAGACAGGGGATACCAAACCGTAACAGGAATGTGTGATTTGTTCCTATGCCACCAGTCTGGAACTCTCTGTACTTATCCTCAAGGAGAGTGAGATATGTGGTTGGTACTTGGGGGACAGAGTAAAGAATTGATACAATCCCTGTCCCTTATAGGGAGCTCCCAGCATCCTTGAGGAGCAAAGACAAGCATAAAAGAAATCATTGGGAAGTGATATAAATGACCAAGCTTCATGATGACCAGAAGTTGAAAGTAGGGATTAGGTTGGGAGAAGTGCATTCAGGTCCCGCTGGAGCTCTTCTTGCACTGTGTGACCCTCAGTTTATCCTATCCCTATTTTATAGCTGTGGAACTTTGGGGAGGAGGGGGAACCTTTTGCCTTCAGGACCACTGAATACCAGGACCAATATTGCTTTCTTTTCTCCTTCCTTCTAGGATGTCAAAAGTACCCTGGAAAAGTAAGTGATTGTTGTATCTCTCTGAGTGAGTTAGGTCTTGGCTTAGAGAGGAGGGGTACAGTCAGGAGTTTGGGTTGGGGGTGAGGTTGGGAAAGTCATGTAGTGTGTCTGGGCAGGGTATGGGAGAATGTTCATTGTGCCCATGAAGCCAGTTAGAGAACAAATTATTGGGAATAATAATCCCTTTTCCCCTTTGAACATCAGGACTTCTTGAGAAGGAGAATGATAAGGTAGAATCAGATTCTACTTGTGCCAGTGGGTGGAATTGTGTCCAAACAAGATGGCAGGAGGAAGGGGTTGGGAGAGCAGGGAGGGCAATCATCCATTTGCATGAAATACAGGAATATTCCTAGAAAGTTCGGAGGCTCACTCTCAACGATCTGTCCACGGGATCATAAGGCTCTCCTTGGATTAGTAAAAGAAATCAACAGGTGAGCTTTTCAGGGAGGAGGAAGAAAGTGGGAAGATGGAGAATTTTAATTTCTCCCTAAAAATGTTAACATCTGAATAGTCACTTGGCTGGAGCTTCTCCCTAACCCTGCCCTTTCTTCCCCTATCTCCCTATCCCTCCTAGATGTGAAAAGGTGAAGACCATGGAGGTGACTTCAGTATCCATAGAGCTGGAAAAGAACTTCAGCAATTTTCCCCGACAGTACTTTGCCCTAAGGAAAATCCTTAAACAGCTAATTGGTGAGTTGTTCCCAAAAGGAAACTAGAAGAAACCACTAGAGAGAAGAAAGTTTTTAGGTCCTACCTTATATGGGTTTCAGTTATCCTATGTCTCACTTTTCTTACTCCCACACACACCTACCCCTTTATCTGGCTTTTAGTCTCACCCTGAGTCACAGAACTTGGAGTGAGAGGAAGCCTTAAGCGTTATCTACTCTTAGGTCCATTCTTTTCTAAATAGAGACCCAGAAAGGTTAAATAATTTGCCAAAGTCATCGGGTAGAGTGGTTATATAATTTACCATGTAAACTTGCATAACCTTCAAAGGCCGGGTGCGGTGGCTCACATCTGTAATCCTAGCACTTTGGGAGGCCAAGGCTGGTGGATCACTTGAGGTCAGGAGTTCGACATCAGCCTGGCCAACACGGTGAAACCCCATCTCTACTAAAAATATAAAAATTAGCCAGATGTGGTGTTGGGCGCCTGTAATCCCAGCTCCTCTGGAGGCTGAGGCAGGAGAACTGCTTGAACCTGGGAAGCGGAGGTTGCAGTGAGCTGAGATCACACCACTGCACTCCAGCCTGAGGGACAGAGTGAGATTCCATCTCAAAAAAAAAAAAAAAGAAAGAAACTGAAAGGGAGTGTCATTATATTAATGTGAATATGCAGGGAAAATAGTCATAAACCAGGCCAGTTCCTGGAAAACACACATGGTCACCCTATCCCTAGACCATATGCTGTCTTGCTCGGCATCCTTCTTAACACTTTCCGTTTTTTTCTGCCCCTCAGACTACACCTTGTACTTCTCTACATAGTGAGATAAATGATAATGTCAGAGGGAGATGAAGAGAGGACCAGGCGGGAACCTAGATTACCAGCCACTGCAGACTCAAGAGATTATTATCTGTTTACTTTAGGGTCAGGGTGAGAAGTGAGCCATTGCTTTCTCCCCTTCCTTAGGTGACACCATGGATTGAGAAAGTTAACCAAACCAGGTTGTTCTGGGGACCTTTAAGGGACCAGGCTCTGTAAAGGCAGGCTGGAAGAGTGAGGCAGGGGCATTTAGCTATTCCCATCCTCATCTAGCTCCCCACTCTGGCTTCTCCCGCCAGCGGATGTGACCCTGGACCCTGAGACAGCTCATCCTAACCTAGTCCTGTCAGAGGATCGTAAGAGCGTCAAGTTCGTGGAGACAAGACTCCGGGATCTCCCTGACACACCAAGGCGTTTCACCTTCTACCCTTGCGTCCTGGCTACTGAGGGTTTCACCTCAGGTCGACACTACTGGGAGGTGGAGGTGGGCGACAAGACCCACTGGGCAGTGGGTGTATGCCGGGACTCCGTGAGCCGAAAGGGCGAGTTGACTCCACTCCCTGAGACTGGCTACTGGCGGGTGCGGCTATGGAATGGGGACAAATATGCAGCCACCACCACACCTTTTACCCCTTTGCACATCAAGGTGAAACCCAAGCGGGTAGGCATATTCCTAGACTATGAGGCCGGCACACTGTCTTTCTACAATGTCACAGACCGCTCTCATATCTACACCTTCACTGATACTTTTACTGAGAAACTTTGGCCCCTCTTCTACCCAGGCATCCGGGCTGGACGGAAGAATGCTGCACCACTTACCATCAGGCCCCCAACAGATTGGGAGTGACAGGTTGGGATGTGGGAATGACTGGGGTGAGGCAGGGTCAAGTGCTACGGGCCTCCTTCCCGTGTCCTGCTGGAACGTCTTCGTGTCCACCTGGGTCCAGTCCTGAATCATCTTGGAGAAACACCTTGGTTTCTAGGATGGTTTTGTGTGGAGGGGGAGGTAGGACTGGGCTGGATGAGAGAGCACAGCTGTGACTTCCTCCTAACTGTCAGGGTGGGGAGCTGGTTCCCAGAGGATTGTCTACCCTGAAGTCCATCAGGTTTTCTGTTGCACAAGGACGGGTCAGGAAGGAAGGAGAGGCTTTTCCAGAAACAAAAAATCTGTGAGGGTCTGACTTGCTCAAACCAGAGGAGGAAACAGAAACCCCTGCACATCTTTTTAGGGGGTTCTTTGACCCAGGATAGTCTTGCTTCTTGAGGTAGATCACAGGGGTCTGTGTACCTCTGAATTCATGAGAGATGAATGACAGATGCTCTCATGGGTCTAGATATTGAGGAGTTTTTCTGAGGGCAGAGATTGGACATCAACAAGGCTAGAAGGGTCAGGGAAGTGGGCTAAAGGAACAGATTCCTAGAGATTAATGAAGAGGAGGGAGGTTTCTTTGGTCTTCTATTCCAAGGGTAAGGTTGCGATTATGGGTAAGATTGGCCAGAGGTAGGAATGTGGGGAGAAGGAGAGGCTGAAAAGAAAGCAGAGGAGAACCCAGGTCCCTGCCTCAGCCTTCAGCAGAGTTGGCTTATTGCCTGCCTCTATACCAATAAGTCAGTCACCTTGCTCCTCTCCAGAGGCAAAGTGGAAGAGATCCTGCAAGACACATCTATCCTTTCACAGTGTTCCCAAGGGAACTTGGAAAGGAGAGTCAGGTATTAGAGGAAAGAGAAGGGTATTTGTATACAAAGCCCTGGCCTTAAAGAATGTTACTTAGTAGCTACTCCCAAATTGTCAGCCTTCTTACCTGGCCAAGGTGTCCAAGCCAGAAAGGAAAAAAGGTTATGGAGTCTTTCTCACCCTAAGGACAGGGTGGAAGAGGGTGGTATATAGGGAAGGGCCAGATAGGCAACTTCATTTGGCTTGTGTGCATCTGGCCTGGAACTGGTGTTAAGCCAGGCTTTTGCTTGTTTGTTGCCATCCCTCACCCTTTGCCATTTCCCTTTTCAGAGAATGTAAATGATTTTCATGTTAGGCCAAAATAAACAACTTATAGGGTACATATGTTGTCATAAAAGGTAAAAGTGATGCATGCCAAACCAAACTAAACCAATTTGGATTATCTGCTATTCGGGTAATCTTCACAGAAATGACTGAGAGAAGAATCTGCAGTTTACTGAGGGCATTTCAGTTCCTCCTACCACCTCAACAGGACTTTGTCCAGACTCTCCTCCTCTTACCTTTGTGCCTTGACTGTGGTTCTTTGTGGCAAGATACTTTGGTTGGTTAAAATAATATGGAACAAAGGATCCACTGAAGTGATCTCTGTGTTGTGTGGTAATTTGGTGACAGCCTTGTACTGATGTGTAAGAATCACTGGGTGTTAGACATGCATGTTCCTGGGTCTCACCCTTAGTGGTTAGTCAAGGTCTGGGGTGGGCCGGACATCTACATTTTATTTATGAGACAGAGTCTCGTTCTGTCGCCCAGGCTGGAGTACAGTGGTGATCTCAGCTCACTGCAACCTCCGCCTCCCAGGTTCAAGCAATTCTCCTGCCTCAGCCTCCAGAGTAGCTGGGATTACTATGGACTATAGCCATGCACCACCACACCCGGCTAATTTTAGTGGAGACAGGGTTTTGCCATGTTGGACAGGCTGGTCTCGAACTCCTGAACTCAAGTAATCTACCTGCCTCAGCCACTCAAAGTGCTAGGATTACAGGTGTGAGCCACCGTGCCCAGCCTACATCTACATTTTAAACACACCACTCTCATTTGAGTCCGAAAACCCTTGTGAAACTAGTTCCAGAGGAGGTTTCAGCCATGTCCTTCCTCCCAGCTGGAGCCCTGCTTGTCTGTCCCCGCCTGGCACTGGGTCTGAAATTGGAGAGAAGTCATCCTCTCCTGACTTATGCTGCCCTCCCCATCTCAGGGTTCATTGATCTTCTACCCCTCCAATTCATGTCCCTCTGCTTCTGACTTCAGTAACTGATAGTCACTATGAGTCACAGGACACCAGACAGAAGAACTGGAAGATAGAAGAGGTCAGAGGGAGGGGTGTGAGGTGAATGTCAGTGTGGGGAGTGGGGTGAAGTTTCAGGGGCAGGGGATGCTGTTGACAGATTTCTGTGCTGTACCTAAGCCTAGGAGTTAGAAACCATTCACTCAGAAAGTGAGGATCACCTACTGTGTGTCCAGCACTGCATAACAGGAAGTGTGTTTCTTTGGTAGGTGGAATAGTAGGAGTAAACTGTGCTTTCTGAGGACCGGGAGTCCTTTTCCCTCCCTCCAGCACCCTCATGATCCTTCCCACTTTCACCCCCACTGGCACCAGTGCTTTTTTTTAATGTATTACCTCTGTGCCTTCCGTCTGTAGATCTTACAGGCATCTGCCTCGGACCTCAGGAGAGTAGGGCAGAAGCTCTAGCTGGGTATAAATTGCACATAACCATCTCCCCAACGTAGCTACATAAAGAGACCAGCCTTCTGTCCTGAAAATGGCCGATTTAAGATCCTCACCTGCTCCACTAGGTCTCTAGGTGATATAATTGGTCATGAGCTTGAGGAAGACAAAAGCACTGAAAATTCATAAAGGGACCCTGGGCATGGATTGCTGGGGTTGTGTTTAGAAACCGATGAGTTTGTGAGGCCTCCGGGAGGCTCCCGAGGGCGCGGGGACTACGTTTCCCAGGAGGCCTCGCGCGGACGCCCGGGCGGGGCTGTGCGAGGGGTGGGGCTGCGGGAGGCCCTGGAGCGCGGCGGTGATGGCGGGGCCGGTGAAGGACCGCGAGGCCTTCCAGAGGCTCAACTTCCTGTACCAGGTGAGTCTGCGACAAGGGCCCCACGGGGACGGTGCTCGGCGTCCCAGAGTGACTGCTCCCCTCCCGCAGGCCGCCCATTGTGTCCTTGCCCAGGACCCCGAGAACCAGGCGCTGGCGAGGTTTTACTGCTACACTGAGAGGACCATTGCGAAGCGGCTCGTCTTGCGGCGGTGAGACAGCCACGGGGCGGGCGGCGGGCGGGACGCGGGAGGAACGCGAGAGGGAGCGCGGGCGCCAGACCACTATCCTCCTCCGCCCCCAGAGATCCCTCGGTGAAGAGGACTCTCTGTCGAGGCTGCTCTTCCCTCCTCGTCCCGGGCCTCACCTGCACCCAGCGCCAGAGACGTGAGTGCTCCAACGGAGGTGGAAGACTGCGGAGCATTGGGGGCGCGGAGGGGGGCGGGGTGGGGGGCGGGCACTGGAGGCCAACAGCGCCTTTCTCACTGTAGATGGATGTTGGGTGTGGGATTCGCAGGAGTCTTCCTTCTTCGGGTTTGGATTAAGTTCCTAACGCCACTTGCACAAACTAGGGTTTGGGCTCGGCTGTTTTTTTTTTTTTTCTTCCAGTGTGGGCAATAAATAATAACTTTTAAGAGGCAACCCCACCCATGCACAATAATAGATGTTGTTCGGCTTTGTGGAGGACGATTCCCATCACCATTCATTTATTAAGCAAATACTTATTTTCTAAAATGTGTCAGGTACTGTGCTAGATTCATTATTCTCATTGAAATTACGGTCTGATGGGACAGACTAAGAAACAAAATGGTGTAGAAAAAGATTAACTGGGGGAGTAGAATGCTCACTTACTCATGCCAGTGGTGGCGAAGTTTATGATAAGCAAAGGGAGTGAGAGATGGAAATTCTAGGCATGTGTGCAGACTCTGAGACAAGAGAGCTTGTGGTGCTGTCAAAGAAATGAGAGTTCAGGAGGCTGGAGTTTGAGGTAGGAGGGCAAAACATGAGACTGGAGGGGGAAACAGGCCAGTTCTTGAAGTCTTGTTAGGGAGTTTGAACTTTATCTTAAAGAGTTCCAGGAAATCGATGGAGCTTATGCCGAGGCCTGACACCATCAAATGTGCATTCAAATTGGGGGTGTGGTGGGGGAGCAGGGATACCTACTGAAAAACACTGGAGGCAAAACTGGCAGCAAGAGACCGTTACTTCTAAACGTGGACAGTCTTTTTCCCATGTTCACCCTAGGCTGCAGGGGACAGCGCTGGACCGTACAGACCTGCCTAACATGCCAGCGCAGCCAACGCTTCCTCAATGATCCCGGGCATTTACTCTGGGGAGACAGGCCTGAGGCCCAGCTCGGGAGCCAAGCAGGTGAGAGGTGAGGGAGAAAATGGAGGACACCCCAGAGGATAGGGACAATGGAGAACGTAGAGTGAAGAGGACACATGGACAGGTTCTGGGTTGGTGTGAGAAGTACCACAGTCAGAAAACTAATTCTGTTTCTCTGATTCTGCTCATTTACTCAGATTCCAAACCACTACAACCCTTGCCAAACACAGCCCACTCCATTTCAGACCGCCTTCCTGAGGAGAAAATGCAGACTCAGGGTTCCAGTAACCAGTGATGGATTCACCCCATCTCCCAAATAAAGTTTACTTGTTTTACATTCCATGATTCTGTTCTGTGGGTATTTCAACTCTTAATTCCATTTTCTTCTGTTTCTGTCTGTGTTTCTTGGTCACCTTTGTAATCCCACCATGCAGGGAGATCGTGATTTCCATAGACCACTTGGCCTCACTCAGCAGCTTGCATTTCCAAGGCCATGGCCCCAGTTCCCTATCAATGTCCTGAGCCACCTTAGGGCATTCCATGTTTGGGCAGCCATAATTGCTGACTGAAGAGCTGGAGAGAATGATGCCACTGCTGCTGTTTTTAAACAAGGGGAGAAATATGGGGCAGCGGAGAGTGTTTGTATCCTCTAGGCCCACTCATAGTCAGAAAAGACTCAGGTCTTTTCCCAGTCTCAAAGTTGTCTTTAATAAAATTCAGATAAAGGAAATGGCGCAAACCTGAACTAACAAAGTCAAAGATGCTAACAAAGGACACCGACAGACATTTTGCAATTATGTCCCATAGGTAAACTCTCAGAGTTTTCTTAAGAATAAACAACTAAAATGTTTTCTTCGATATCCCTAGAAAGCCTACTGAAGTACAGAATTCTTAGACTGACCTTTTTGCTAAATGCCAGCTAATAAGGTTATACCAAAAGCATACAAACAAAATTTACTACTTCCAGAATGCAGTTTTCTTTTATTTCTCTTATAAACCCTGTGTTTGCTTATCGATAGCTGTATAAAAAAATCACTTCATCATGTTGGAGCTTAAAACATAATGATTTATTATTTCCTCTGGTTCTGTGAACTAGGAATTCTGAAAGACTTTGGCTGGGTGGTTCTCCTGTTACATATGAAATCAGCTTAAATAGCTGCATTTAGCTGCTATCTCGTAGGTGGTCTGGAAGACCCAAGAAATTTCACTCACGTGTTTAGCACCTCATTGCTTCTCCAAGTAGCCTTGCTCCCTCGCTAGCTTTGATGTTCCCACAGCATGGCTGACTCAGGGTAGTTGTATTTCTTACATCCCCTCTGGCTTCTACAAAAGCATCCCAATATGTAAGTGTTTGGCTGGATGCTGTGGCTCACACCTGTGATCCCAGCACTTTGTGAGGCCGAGGCAGGTGGATCACTTGAGTTCAGGAGTTTGAGACCAGCCCGGACAACATGGTGGAACCCTGTCTGTACTTAAAATACAAAAAAATTAGCAGGGCGTGGTAGCAGGCACCTGTAATTCCAGCTACTCGGGAGGCTGAGGCAGGAGAATCACCTGAACCCAGGAGGCAGAGTTGCAGTGGGCCAAGATCGCGCCACTGCATTCCAGCCTGTGTGACAGAGTGAGACTGTCTCAAAAAAAAAAAGTGTTTATCGAGCCTCTGTTGGGGTCACACTTGCTAATGTTCCCTTGGCCAAAGCAAGGCACAGTGCCAATGCCAGATTCAATGTGGAAGGGGCTACACTGGAGTTTGAACGCTGGGAGGTTCATTAGTTCCCTGGGGATCACCAGTGTAACAATCTACCACAGGGGTCCCCAACCCCCAGGCCCTGTGGACTGGTACTGGGCTGTGTCCTGTTAGGAACCAGGCTGCCTAGTAGGAGGTGAGCAGTGGTGGAAGGGAGGGATGGGCCAGCATTACTGCCTGAGTAATCAGTGGCAGCATTAGATTCACATAGGAGCATGAACCCTACTGTGAACTGCGCATGCAAGGGATCTGGGTTGCATGCTCCTTATCATAATCTAATTGCTGATGATCTGGGGTGAAATAGTTTCATCCCAGAACCATACCCTTCCTGCTCCATGGAAAAATTGCCTTTCACAAAACCAGTCCCTGGTTAACCTGTCCCTAGTGCCAAAAAGGTTGGGGATCACTCATCTACCACATTCTTGTTTTGCCTTTGTCCCTGACTTGGTCTCTCCACTGCCTCCTTCACATGTCAGTAAATTATTTGCGTAGAAAATACTAAACAGTGTACATGTAAGTAAATGTTTCTGAGTCATCCTTTGACATTTTATTTCTGGAAATAGTGCCTACCTGGGTCAACTTTCAGTCCAACAAAAATGTGTAGCCTGAAAGTAACACCTCGTGCATACCTGGGTCCTTTGCATCCTCAGCTCACCTTCCATGGCTCCTCCAGTAAGTTTAATTTGGGATGACTGAGCTCGACTCTTGCACACTTAATCTGATCTTTGGCTAAGTTTGTCTTGAGTGTGTTATGATTGCATGTGACTGAACATGTCTACAGTGGGATAGCAGTGGGGAAACTGAGTTTCGATTTCATGGCTCAGTCACTAAGTGATTCCTCTCATGTGGGAGATCATGGGAATCAGGTCCCAGTCAGGATGAGCGGCAGACAAAACAGTATCTGGAATCTGGTTCACTTGTGAGTCTTTGTGGTTTCTTTATTTGTTGTGGGTTTCTATCAATATATAACTCTAAAGATCACAGCCCTCTTCCTCTTTCCACAGCCCTCTTCCTCTTTCCTTTTTCATGTTTAATTATAAATATATGATTACATATATAACATTTATATTCTATACATTGATACATGATTCTATGTATTAATACAGATACATCATAAAGATATATAATGTGATAGTGGCATATTATATGCAAAAATGGATTTCCTAGATGAAAGATGAAAATAAACTGAATCCCTGGAATGCAGTAGCTTTCTCAAGTGTTTCTAGAAGTTCAATAACTCAAAATTTATGCCCTTTTAGGACTCTAAATAAAATTAAAGGAGAGAGAAGAAACTTAGGTTATTCAAATCGAATCAAGAAATGAGGTCTTCCAGTAACCATAGAAACTATGCCTTAGTCACTCCCTGAACATTAAGTTCATTTAGCACTTTCAAAACTAGTGAAAACCAGTATCGTTATTGTCAGGAGGCAAAAGAGAGAAGGATTGAGAGACTGTTATTTTGAATTCAAGTAGCAAAAACGTTAGAAAAGACAGGTCTTGAACATTGAGGAATCTGAGTTATTGTCACCATAATAAATCAGTGTGTATCTCTAATTTAAAACAATTATATCACTATGAAGATAGTGCCTATGCTTAGTAACTGCTTAATAAATTTTCAAAACTATTTTGAAATATAGATTCACTGGAAGCTGCAAAGAGCATACTGAAATGTCCCCTACATCCTCACCCAGTGCCCCCCAGTGGTTCCTCTTTTTATTGTGGTAAAATATACTTAACTTAAAATGTATCATTTTAGCCATTTTAAAGTGTACAATTCAGTGGCATTAAGTACATTTGCAATATTATACAATCACCACCACTATTTAGTTCCAGATCTTTTTCATCATCCCAAACAGAAACCTGTTTCCATTAAACAGTCACTTCCAATTTTTCCCTATTCCAGCCCTTAGCAACCACTAATCTGTTTCTGCCTTTACGGATTTGTCTATTCTGTATATTTCATATAAATGGAATCATACAATTTGTAGCTTATTGTGTCTGATTTCTTTCACTTAGCATAATGTTTTCAGGGTTCATCCGTGCTGTAGCAAATGTCAGTATTTCATTCCTTTCTATGGCTGAATAGTAGCCGATTATATGGATATACCACATTTTGTTTATCCATTCAGCCATCAATGGACACTTCCGTTATTTCTGCTTTTTGGCTATTGTGAACAGTGCTGCTATGAACATTTGTGTACAAGGTTCTGTTTCAGTATCTGTTTTTAGTTTTTTTGTTGGAGGATATAGGTGCGGTTCGTTTGATAGTTTTATATTTTAACTTTTTGAGGAACTACCAAACTGCTCTTCATGGCTGCTGCACCATTTTGCACTCCCACCAGCAATGCACATGGTTCTAATTTCTCTCCATCCTAATCTACACTTACTTTCAGTTTGTTTTGTTGTTTATTATAGCCATCCTATAATAACATTCTAGTGGGTATAAAACCGCTAGAAGTCAATCCAAAACACTAGACAAAAACCACAAAACCTCTTTGTGGTTTTGATATACAGTTCTCTAATGAGTAATGATGTTGAGCATCTTATGTGTTTGTTGGCTATTTGTATATTTTCTTTGGAAAAAGGTCCTTTCAAGACCTTTGCCCATTTAAAAAAAATAGGTTGCCTTTATGTTTTGAGTTTTAGGAATTCTTTATATATTCTGAATACTAGACCCTTATCAGATATATGATTTGCAAACATTTTCTTTCATTCCGTGGATTGTCTTTTCACTCTCTTGATAGTATATTTTGATGTATAAAAGCTTTTAATTTTCATGATCTTGCAGCTACTTCCTCAAGAACCAAACTGTCTCTCTCAGACCTTATCTTCTGCCTCCATCCTGATTCTTTTTGGAGCTTGTTCTAACCCTGGCCCTGCCCACTGTGACCTTGACACTACTTAATTAGGACCCCCTCACCTCCTTTCAGACCTGGTGCCTCCAACTATATCCTGCCTCACTCTGCTTTGAAACAGGAAAGTGTTCCCCCTGGACTCTTAGAGTAGATGTGGGTATCTGAGTTTCTCTTCCTAAAATCCTTTCCTTCTTAGAGCGATCAATGAGCCCTGTTGAATGGCCTATGGAAGGGAAATGAATGTTCTAAATTTCCTCTGACCCTTTTCTTCGGACCCCCAAAGGCATTCCCCACCAGCACCCACTATGACCCCATCTCTGACTGTAATACCACCCTGAGGTGCTGGGCCCTGGGCTTCCACCCTGAAGAGATCACATTGATCTGGCAGCAGGATGGGGAGGACTATACCTAGGACATGGAGCTTGCAGAGACCATTTTATCTTTTTGACAACTTTTTTTTTTTTTTTTTTTTTTGAGACAGAGTCTCACTCTTGCCCAAGCTGGAGTGCAGTGGCGCGATCTTGGCTCACTGCAAGCTCCGCCTCCCAGGTTGATGCCATTCTCCTGCCTCAGCCTCCTGAATAGCTGGGACTACAGGCACCCGCCACCATGCCCGGCTAATTTTTTGTATTTTTAGTAGAGACGGGGTTTCACCGTGTTAACCAGGATGGGCTCGATCTCCTGACCTCGTGATCCACCCGCCTCGGCCTCCCAAAGTGCTGGGATTACAGGCGTGAGCCACCGCACCCGGCTGACAACGTTTTTTAAGCTCTCTGTACTGTATATACATCTAATTCAGTGTTTTGGACTGCCATAGATTATGCTTTTAAAACATTTTGTTTATCCCTTTTCTTATGGATAGTCAACTAGTTTGCTTCCAACTATATGTTACCATATATATCTCTGTAGTAGAATTCTAGACCATGGACCTATGAGAGTGGGCCTCTGGAGTACTTAGCCACAATTACAAATTGGATTCTAGGTTTGTGTGTATGGAAATTACCTGAGGAAAGTCAAATTTTCCTTCAGCTTCCACAGTCTATACTCCCTAGCAATATACCAAGTTCATCTTTCTTTACATGCTCAGTTGATTTTAACTGACTTCTTAATCTTTGTCACAATCTAATCAGTATCAACTCTTTCCCTTTCTTGTTGTAACTTGAGTTTCTCTTATTGCCAGTGATACTGTGTAGCTTCAAATAAGTCATCATCATTCATTTTTCTCTTTCTTTGAACTGCCTATTCAAATGTTTCCCCCTATTTTTCCACTAGATTTCATGGTGTTCTTTTCTTTTTGCTTTGAAGGGTGTTATGGGCTAAATGTTTGTGTTCCCCCAAAATTCATATGTTGAAGCCCTAACCCCCAGTGTGGTGGTATCTGGAGGTGGGACCCTGGGGAGGTAATTAAGTTTAGATGAGGTCAGGAGGGGGGGGCCTCCGTGATGGGATTAGTGCTCTTTTAAGAAGAGGGAGATTGGAGCTCTCTTTCCCTACCTTGTGAGGACACCGAAAGAAGGCAGTCATCTGTATGCCAGGAAGAGGATCCTCACTGGAACTGAATCTGCTGTCACCTCCAAAACTGTGAGAGATAAATGTCTGTTGTATAAGCCACCCAGTCTGTGGTATTTGTTATAGCAGCCATGGCTGACTAAGACCTAAGGTTTTGGTTGTTTTGTTTGTTTGTTTGTTTGTTTTCTTGTAATGGAAAAGAATTCTTTTAGAGTTTTACCTGGTACATTTGTGCCTTTAATACATTTTGAGTTGATTTCTACAGATTGTGTGAAGTAATCTGCTGGTTCTCTAAGGCTTCAGTGAATGCCTCCTCTCCAAGCTGCACTTGAGTCCTCCCATCTGCCTGGGCCTGGAGCTTCTTATGAAGCCTCAGCTGCAAGCAGTGGTCAGTGGCAATTTCTTTCAGGAGAGAGCCTGCCTTCAGCCAGTCTCCTGACAAACAGCATGCTGGAAGCATCAGCCCTTCCCACTGCCTTTGCTTTCTGTTGATGACCCATTCTTCATGGAGAGTGGTGTTTCTCTTGTCCTTAACTCAACTATAACTTTTCTCTTTTTACATTTTTCTTATTGCCATGTAATTTGGGGCAGAGAGTCTTTGCCTAAGCATGAACTTATTGTGCCATCCTGACCAAAGCCTGTCATTTAGGGATGTGTCCTGCTTTGTGGTGGGTCATTCTGAAATTACCCGTTTCAGCCCAGTGGAATTTAACCAGAACTGTGGGATTGAAACTGTCTCTTGAAGAGGAACTGTGGGGAAAATGAACAAACCAACATTCAGGCTCAGTTGGAGTATGCTTTTAGGCTTTCCCAGGTTATGGAGTATAAAGCTAATTGTTGATTCATTCCTTCTTGGCTTTACAGTTGTAGAAAGAGATCTGGCCTAAAATCCCTATAACTGGGACAGGCTGAGTCCAGGCTCTGACATTGGCCAGCTGTGCGACTGGGCAATATTTTGTTTCACTCTCTAGCCTCATTTTCAATAGGTAATACATGCAAGTAGCAGGAAATTCAGAAAGTATGCAAATAGATAGGGGAATTAATTTTCCAGCTACCCATTTTATCTTCCAGAGGAGAATACGGTAAAAATATTCTGGATATTTTTGTAAATATATATAAACAAGTTGGTATTGATTTAAATTTTTCTTTCATACAAATGGTAGAATACTATTCTATGGGTCATATACTGCTTTTTATTTAGCAAAAAAACTTAGTGCTCTTACCATTTTAGTATCTAACATCAGCTTCATTATTTTTCATCACTGCATAATATTCTATTGTGTGGGTATACCATAATTTATTTAGTCTGCTCCCTGTTGAGTATTTACCTTCTTTCAAATGTTCTGCCCATAAACAATATGTAAAGCTTAGGTATGGCTATACATCCAGCATGGATGAGTCTTCAAAACATACTATTCAGTGGCTGGGTGTGGTGCCTCACGCCTGTAATCCCAACACTTTGGGAAGCTGAGGCTGGTGGATCACCTGAGGTCAGGAGTTCGAGACCCACCTGACTAACATGGAGAAACCCCATCTCTACTAAAAATACAAAATTAGCCTGGCTTGGTGGCACATGCCTGTAATCCTAGCTACTCAGGAGGCTGAGGCAGGAGAATCGCTTGAACCCGGGAGGCAGAGGTTGCAGTGAGCCGAGATCACGCCATTGCTCTCCAGCCTGGGCAACAAGAGCGAACTGTCTCAAAACAAAAAAAAAAAAAGAAAAAAATCAAACCAAAAAAAACATACTATTCAGCAAAACTCCAGATACAAAAGAACACATATTGTATGATTCCATTTATGTACTGTTCAAAAACAATAAAATATGAATATACATACAGACATATAATTTATTATTTAGTGATTTCTTCTTAGGTGGGAAAACTTTGAAAATAAAGCAAGAAAACATCGCCTGAAAATTCAGGGTAGTAGCCAATTGGGAGGGGATGTGATTGCTGGAGTAGAGGCACCTGGGCTGCCAGCAACGTTTAATTTCTCAAGTAAGATAGTAGGTACATTGCATGTATGCTTCATTTAGCTGTACTTTTTTGCATTTATGTCATGTTATTGTTCACGATAAAAACGACTTTAAAGTGAAGTGAAAAGAGTACTATGCTTAAGCTTTTTGCTCACATTTTATTTTACACCTGGGTCTTTATCCACATGATAAATTTCTAAAGGTTAAGTTGCCAGATCAAATACTTTTGCAGTTAAATTTTGATGGAAAATACCAGTTGCCTTTCACAGAAATTACATCAATTTACTCCCCATACAAAACAAGACACAAAATAGTGTCTGATTACCTTACCTTCACCAGCACAATAAGGCATCATCAAATCTTTGGGTTTTGATCACCTGATAAATAACGGTTTCTGTGTATGTGTGTGTGTGTGTGTTTCTGTTATAGGGCCCTAATAATGATTTATGTAAATGTGTACAGAAGTAACTCTTTCAAGTGGTCAGGCTCCAGTGGGTGGGAAACACCTTTATAAAAAAATTGAGAAATTTTGTAGTCTTATTCCAGCCTAATGTAAAAAAAAAAAAATCAAGAACTGCACAAATGTGATTTATGGGTATTGTATCCCAAACGGTCCCATCTCTACTTAACAAATGGATTGACCCATCCTGATATGTCTATTTTTTCATTTCCTAAAACAAATGAGGCTTAACTTCTCTGACCCAAATTGTCCTTGCTGTGCTTCAAGGGGGACCTAGGCAAGGATGTGGGTCAGGGGCAGATGGACTGAAAACGTGTGCAGTGAGTGAGCCAATCATGTTTTAGGAAGATTAAAGCTCCTGAGACAGAGGACTCCTAGGCAGAGATGGCAGCGAGCTCCCCAGCTCAGGCTTTTAGCACCGCCAACTCTCTGGTAAAAGCAGCTGCACCCACCTCTTCCCTTCACTCTCACCTCCTATGTTCTTGGGCATCAAACGTAATTTTGCTTCAGAGCTCAAGGGCAGTGCAGCCTAAGGAAAACTTGTAAGAATTCCTCAGTCTTGAAGTCCTTTGCCTGAAACCAAGGAGAGATCAAGGCCTAGGGAGAAGAAGGGGAACATTCTCTTTGGAATGCTGGGTATTTCTAAGCAGGAGTAGGGGGCCCTGCCCTGGAGGGAAGGTTTGCCTTGAACTGCTCTGCCTGCACCCTGCCCCAAACTCTGCACTCTCCAGGTCCTAATCCAAACAAGTACAACAGGAGGCTGAGTTTGCAGTGGAGAGTGAAATAGCATGATAGTTACAAAATTGTCAGGACTTGTATGTGGTTGGATGCTATTGTTTTTATCTTCTTTCATTCACTGTTTTCTGCAGTATCACTTTTGCCCAAATATATTTAAAGAAAAGAATTGTATCTCTACTTTCAATTTAAAACTAGTATTTTTCTAATACATTAAAATAACAAAGGAACCAATTATATATTAATATAAACAAAAAACTAAATTAAAAACTAACTTGGGCCATGTGTGTCTATAATCCTAGCACTTTGGGGGGCTGAGGCAAAAGAATCGCTTGAGGCCAGGAGTTTAGAACCAATCTGGGCAACATATTGAGGCGCTATCTCTATAAAAATTAAAAAAAAAATCAGCCGGGCCTAGTGACATGCATAGTCCCAGCTACTTGGGAGGCTGAGGCAGGAGGATCGCTTGAGCCCAGGAGTTCCAGGTTACAGTGAGCTATGATCTCGCCACTGCACTCCAGCCTGGGCAACAGAGTGAAATCCCGTCTTTAAAAATAAGAAAAACTAATCTGTCATTCTGCCAAATAAAGATGCCTCTGGGAAATCCAACTCTGAGTGATGTCTCAGCTATCTTCTACACATCAGTTCTCAAGTGAACCCCCTTCCCTCAGGACATGTGGCAATGTCTGGATATATTTTGATGTTGTCACAATCAGGAAGGTGTTGGTGTTACAGGCATCTAGTGGGTAGAGGCTAGGAATGTTGCTAAACATCCTACAATTTACAGGACAACCTCCACAATAAAGAGTTATGTGGCCTGAAACATCAAGTACTCACTGTAACGCTGAGGTTGAGAATCCCTGCTCTACACAGATCCTCTGAGCCTGATGCTCCAGGCAGGCTTCCTCCCCTGTAATACCCACAACACCTGCATAAATTGCTGTGTTAGCTCTTATCACACTGCAAGGTCATTGCATTTATTGTCTCCTCTTTACAACTGTGGGTTCCTGGAAAGCAGGGGCTCTGTCTGATAGCTATGTTTTGTAACTATGTGTTTTATGCCTTATATTTTTCTCAGCACTTGAACATTGCCTGGCACATAATATTTGCTCCACAAATAACTGCCAGAGGCATGAGTTTAGTTTTGAGACACCTAGGAAACAGCAGAAATTAGCAATGATTAGTGAGATAAAGAGAAGGTTATTAATAAAGCCCTCCCTTTATTACATCGGTCCTTCCTAAAACCCCAGTGTGGATGGTAACATGATTACATCCATTTTATACATAAGTTAATTAATGCTTAGATAATTTACATGACGTGTCTAAGATCTCATGACTGGACAGCGGACTAGTTGAGACTCTCGCACAACTTATCTGACTTTAAAACTTCAATTCTCCTATTATTATGCAAAGACTGCCCCTTAAATATACTCCTACTAAAAGACTATGAGTGGCCGGGTGCGGTGGTTTGTGCCTGTAATCCCAGCACTTTGGAAGGCCAAGGAGGCCGGATCACTTGAGGTCAGGAGTTCGAGACTAGCCTGGCCAACATGATGAAACCCCGTCTCTACTAAAAACACAAAAATCAGCCGGGCGTGGTGGCGCATACCTGTAGTCCCAGTTACCTGAGAGGCTGAGGTGGGAGAATCGCTTGAACCCGGGAGGCAGAGATTGCAGTGAGCCGAGATGGCGCCACTGCACCACAGCCTGGGCGACAGAGCGAGACCCTTTCTCAAGAAAAAAGAGAAAAAGAAAGACCATGACAGACGCCTCTGCCTTCAAGGTGGCCAACTGGGCACAAAATCTTTCCTCCTTGACTCTTAAGATATTGTTAAAACGTTATTAGGGGAACTGAAATCCAAATTGTAAAGAAGGATGAGTCCAGTGGTGAAAATTTTCCACAAATATTAGAAATAGAAAAAAACCCTTACTGACCTATGAAAGAAGGCAGAAGTCCCAGCGCATAAGAAACGCTAGAGGGGGCTGTAGCCCAGAGAAAACCAATCAACCTACCAAATAGAGCCCCAGAAAGAAACCTCCTCCTCGCCCCTCCGCCTTCCTCTGTGTTCCTGCCGCTCCTCCATTCCTTCTTTGGAAGACGCAGCTCCTGCATTCCTTCTTTGGAAGACTCCCCCCTTCACCGAGGTTACCTACCAAATCCGCCATAGGGTGTGGTCCAGGGTCGAGTTATCACAGACCTGTCTCCCCAAGGTCCCCGCGTCGCGTTATCTAGGCAGAAGCGCTGACCCCGCATCCCTCCCGTCGGGACCCCACGCGCTGCCCCAGTGAAATGAAATCCTGGTGCTTGTGGCGTGCGCTGCGCGGTTCCACTCCGCTGTGCCTTCCTTTCCGCCCGCCCCCGACGGCTGGACGCCCCTCTGTCGATTGGAGCGGTCCTTAGTGCTACGTGTCCTGGGATCCCCAAAGTTGACCGCCCCCACAGGGTGTGCCAAAGCTCATCAAGCGCCATTCCAGTCTCAACCTTTATCTTTTACAATTTAAAATTTATTTATTATCCATGTAAGGAGAATAACTGGTACACTCAGCGCAGTTCTGCATATATATAGGCCATAAAAGGAAATGAAGCTTGCGTGACACTTTCCGTGAAAGCAATAGTACCGAACTACAAATCAAACTGCATCTTAGCCGATCTCCTGAAGAAGAGGAAAAGCCTTGCCAAATGCGTCTTCCCAGCAGGATGCAAACCTCCTTCAGCAAACACTGAGTAAATCTGGGAGTGCTGAGACATAGTACAATGCGAGTTTTCAGTGTAATTGAAAAAATTGAAAAAATTGAAAAAAAAATAACTAAATTAAGATTTTCGACTGTTTTCAAGGACAGTACTGAGGCAGCACGTTTGCAGAGTGATATTTTTCAAAAATGCTGTAAGAAACTATAAAATCAGCTGGAGATATTCTGTTGAAATGTGTTTTTCTACAAAGCAGAGTCAAAAATCACACGCTATGTAGTACACAAATAAAGTGGAAGCTGTCGATACACGTATAAATATAAAGGATTTTTGCTTACACAAAAAATATTCCAATGTCCCAATATGCAACATTGCTGAACAAATATGGAGCTAAACAAGTGGCTTCTAATGAATTATTCTAATAAATTTTACTCCGATAAATTACATACTTAAAATATTATATTTAAAAACAAACTGGAGAGCTGTAGAAGAAACCCTATTTATCCTCATGTGAAGTTTGAGATTTGTTTGTAATTTTTTTTAAATTAATGCAGGAGAGAAGTGCGTCGTTGAAACAACCACCTCGAGTAAAACAGCATTTCTTCTCACCACACAACAAAACAAAAACCCCACTTGCTGCATTTCAGTTTAGAATTTATTGTGTTCACTTTAAGCAGGGAATGTATCAAAACTCAAAATTTAGCAGACGTTTTAATGATTTAAGAACTATTATAGAAAATACTTTTTTTCCAGGAATAAGTTGCTATATCTTAATTACTAAGTAACCCCAATTCCTATTGCTTTTAGAACTTCCCAGTTTGCTTCAGAGTTCAACGGCCCAGTGTGCAAAACTGACTCGTGAATTTTGTAGGTGATGTGGATTCACCCTGTCTAGCAGGAGTCTGCAGCACTGGCTGAAAAAACTGTTTCTGTGGTGCCTGATGAGAGACTTATGCTTTTGGCAATTGCATACTTAGATACGTCACCCTGTAGAGCCTTCACTGCTTCCCAATCCACCCCTCACTCCCACCTAATCTCTGACCAGGAGTAAACCCTAAGATGAGCTTAGAGGCTCCTGTGGCTAAGGGCAGTGAAATCCACTAAAGTGTGTCAGGGCTGAGAGAATATCGGAATTCTGCAACTGTGCCCCAAATTCAGGATTCTCTACTTTCAGTTCATCGTGGCTTTTGTGGAGCAGGGCTACACATTGTGGGTAATCTGTGGGGTTTCAGTTACCTATTGCAAGACATTGTTTACTCTTCTCACTCCATGTCCTTTATATGGTGCAGTAAAACTCTAGTGGGGGCTGCTGGTGCTGGGTGTTGGCGGGGGCCTCCTACCCAGCAGCTGCTGCTGCTGAGCTCTGGAAGTTTGCTATGGGCCATGGATTGGGTAATGTGTGTCTAGGTTCTATGTAGGAAGGCTGACCACTTCCACCTGGAGCCATAGCTCAGGAAGGAGGCAGATGAAGCAGATGAATAATCACCAGCGTGTCTGGAAAGAGTGAGACACTCTGGAGACTCAAGGGACAGTGTTGGCGATTTATTGGAGGTTTGCAGTGTCACAATAGGAGGGTGTTTCAATAGGAGGAAAACATGGTCCAATTGAAGAAAGGGCCAGAAGGAAGAAAAGAGGAAGATGGGCTCCAGTGCTAGAAAAGAGAGACCAAATACAGTCGAAAAAGCAGAGAAATGTATTTTTCCTCAAGTTCTTCTGCTGTCACTTTCACTGCAGATCTCAGCTTTGCTCTTCCAGAGTCCCTCCTTTGGCACTGCACTGCAGCCCTCTAGCCGACCGAGGGCGGCTCCTGTTCTCTCTGCAGACTGCACATCCCTGTCCTCGCTCAGCGCTCCCCATCTGCTGTCGCTCCTTCCAAGTGCACGAATACTTAGAGCTTAATCCCCGCAAACCTAGTTTGCGTGACAGTGCCCCAAGCCGGGAGACCCACAGCTCCTTTCCCTCTGGACCTCTAACTGACCTGCAGCAGCGGGCTTAGTACTCAGCTCAGCACGCTTCTGGTCTCTGGTTCAGCCTTCTCTCCCACCTAGGCCTATGGAGCTACTCCATCTCAGGCTTCTGCTCTTGTCTGGGGTGCGAATCGTAGTGTGTGGCCACTTCCCCAGCTCAGATCATCATTGCCTGTCCCTGGGATTTCTGCCAAAATTTCCCAACACATTTCTTTGCCTTCAGTCTTGTTCTCCTCCAAAGACTGCCTGCAACCAGAGAGGTCTTTGTAAAGGAAAATGTCATCTGTCTCTCTCCTACTTCAAAACTTTCATGGTCCACATAATCATCTCGATTGACACAGAAAAGCATTTAACAGAATTCAACACCCTTTCTGATAAAAACATTCAACAACCTAGGAATAGAAGGAAACTACCTCAACACAATAAAGGCGATATATGAGCAGCCCATCACTAACATCATATTCAAGGAGAAAGAATGAGGAAGGCTTTTTCTCTACCATCAGAAACAAGACAAATATACCTATTCACCACATCTGTTCAACTTAGTATTGGAAGTTCTAGCCAGAGTAACTAGGCAAGAAAAATAAAGTAAAACACCCAAAATGGAAAGGAAGAAGTAGAATTATCTTTGTTAGAAGACAGCATGATCATATATGCAGAAAACCCTAAGGATTACACACACACACACACACACACACACAGAGGAAGAGAGAGAGAGAGCACTAATAAACAAATTCAGCAAAGTTGCAGGATACAAAATCAATATGTAGCAGTCAGTTGTATTTCTATACCATGCCTTGCAACATGGTGTTTCTTCTAGTCCTGAAGAGGCAAGTTGACCCAGTCCAGGTAGAGCACCGACTTAGAAAGAGAAAGAAGGAAACAGCTGAAAAAATCTGAGAAGGCATATCAACTTGTGAGCCAAATATAAATCATAATGTGTGTTAGATTAACGAAATGTACTTTCTCATAGTAATACAGTATTTCTAAGTTCTGCTCAGATACTGTTACTGTGTATGTTTCTAGAAAACACAGCCCCAAATGTGCATAGTCTTGAATACAAAAGAATCAAAAGCCATCAATATGTGGTATAAATCCTTAAAGCATTTTAATTGCTAAAAATACATGCCAAAGTCACAGTAAACAACATTGCTCTGCAAACTATAAGATATAAATAATTTGCCTCTCTATAATAATTTTACTCACAAATTACTACCTGAGTAATCTCGTTAATCGTCCCTAATCTCATCCTAATCCCCAGAAACTGTGAGTGTTGCCTTATTTGGGAAAAAGGACTTTGTAAATGTGATTAAGAATCTTGAGAGAGATTATCTTGGATTTGCTGGGTGGGCCCAATATAATCACAGTGGTCCTTATCAGAGGAGGCAGGAAGTGTCAGAGTCAGAGGAGAAGGGAATGTGATGATGCCAGGAGAGACTGAAGTGATTCATTTTGAAGGTGGAGGAAGGGCTTACAAGCCAAGTAACATAAACAGCCTTAGAAGCTGGACAGGATTGGGGAATGGGTTCTCCCCTAGAGCCTACAGAAGGAACCAGCCCATCTGACATCTTGATTTTAGTCCACTGAAAGTAATTTTGAGTGAACTGAAGTCCACTCAAAATTATTTTAATTTGCTGATTTCAAGAGCGGTAAGTGAATACATATGTTTTATATTAAGTCACCAAATTTGTGGTAATTTGTTATAACAGCCATAGGAAACTAATGTACTACTTTGGTAGTCTGGAAGACAACCCTTCCAAGGATATCCATGTCAAATCCTTGGAACATGTAACTATTACTTTATATGACAAAAGAGTGAATATTACTTTGTATGGCAAAAGATATGATTAATTTAAGAATGTTGAGAGGATGAGCTAGCCTGGAGTATCTGGGTGAGCCCTAAATGCAATGACATGTATTTTTATAAAAGACAAGGAGAGGGAATTTTTAAAAACTTTTATTTTAGGTTTGAGGGTACACGTTGAAGGTTTGTTACATAGGTGAACCTGTGTCACAGGGGTTTGTTGTACAAATTATTTCATCACCCAAGTATTAAGCCCAGTACCCATAGGGAATTTGAGGTTCACAGACACACAGAGGAGAAGGTGATGTGAAGACAGAGGCAGAGATTGGAGTGATGCAGCCACAAGCCAAGGAATGCCTGCAGCCACCAGAATATGACAGATGCAAGGAACTGATTCTCCCCTAGATCCTCTGGAAGGGGCATAGCCCTACTGAGATCTTGATTTGGGGCTCCTGGCCTCCAAGGTTGTGAGAAGATAGATTTCTGTTGTTTTAAACCATCAAGTTTATGGCAATTTGTTGCAGCAACCACAGGAAACTAATACAACTATCACAATCTAATGTTTAAAAAGCAATTAATTGGATGGTTGTAAGGCAAAATTATGTATCTCAAATTTAAAAGTTGATACCTGTTTGCAAGAAACTCATTAAATGCCAAAGAAGTACTTGATTCAAACAAGTTCCTTGAATTCAAAATCAATTATTTGTATCTAAAAGTATAAATTGCGTTCTATCTGCATCACCATATGTTAACAAGACAATGCAAAGCTCAAAATGTAATTTTGTATTATTTTAAGTATTTGTGAAACATTATACAAATTAAATAACTTTGTTTTAAAAAAACAGAAACATCGCTGTGCTACAGTATTCCAAAACTTCCAAAGATCCTACTACCCACTTATGTTGTTATTAGACATTATAAATTTGCTTTTTGATTCAAAAATTTCACTGTAGTAAACAGAGCTATTTGTTCCTGAAAACTAACTTTTAGGGTTTGTACCGGTGAGAACTTTCTCCTTCAGGAGCCTGCAGTATGTGTGGGCAAAATCAGATTCTATGATGCCTGGTATGGAACTTCTGTTTCCTTCAGGGTGACAGAGGGTCATATTGTTCTCTGCAGAGCTCCAATGCATCCCCATCTTCAATCCCGCCAGGCCAAAAGCAATCCCTAAGATAAGTCTGGGTCTTTGTGGCTGATGTTTGTAAACTGTGTTGAACCTGTAATGAGGCCTTCATTTCCCTTTAGGCTTTGGTTAAAAGTGTGTCACAATTGTGGATCAATGATTAAGTTAAACTTCTCATGAAGTGGCAGATTATATGCTGTGCCTGGTGGTGAGGTTTCAGGTTTCAGGTTCCTGCTGCTAAAGCTCTGCATCCCTTCCACTGCAGGCCCTTACTTGGGGCAACAGTACTTGTCCTGTGAGGACCTGTCAGTGTCACCCCCAGTGCTGGTGGTGCTCAATGGTTGTTATGGAAACCAGGGATTAGGTAATGTTCTCTAGTTTCTACATAGGAAAACTGATCACATTCAACTGAGGAAACATTGCTCACTAAGGAAACGGATGGATCCCCACCAAACTTTCTTGAACGGCACTCAACATTGGTCCCTCAATGTCAGACTACATGTTCAACAGAGTAAAATATGCCCCTGGGATTCTCTCAAGATTGCTCAAGGCTTTGCTTTGGTATGTCATCATTTTATGCATCATTGTTGGAAGCGAGAAAAGTTTTAACAATTGTCATGTTATATCCAGAGGATAAAGCTGAATCTAATATCTAGATTTCTATGTATCAACTGGCAATGTTTGGGAACCGGCAATACTTAAGAACCTTATAAAGTCAGGGCTTTGAAGTGTACTTTAAAATAGATTTCCCATCCTCTGAAGTACACAAACATCTTTCCAAAGGCACCTAACCCACAAGGATTCCTCTTGATAGAACCAGATGTGAAGTTGCTACAAAGAAATGATGGTGTATGAGAAACCATGACTTCCCAGGGTCTGCGTTTGCTGAAGTCACTGATTATGAAGTCATTTTCTCTGTGGGTTTGGGTGTTAGGAAGAATCCACTGTGACTCCATTGTGGATCCATCCTCACTCAAGATTCAGAAAATCAGCAGCACATTTGGTCAACACGGCATCTTTCCCTTGCACTGCTGGATGGAGCTAGTCCAGGCGACATGAACTTCTTTCTCTCACTCTCTCTCTCTTTTTTTTTTTTTTTTATACAAAGTCTTGCTCTGTTGCCAGGCTGGAGTGCAGTGGCATGATCTTGGCTCACTGCAACCTCTGCCTCCCAGGTTCAAGTGATTCTTCTGCCTCAGCCTCCTGAGTAGCCCATCTAATTTTGTATTTTTAGTGGAGACGGGGTTTCACCATGCTGGCCAGGATGGTCTCGATCTCCTGACCTCCTGATCCACCCTCCTCACCCTCCCAAAGTGCTGGCCTTTTCCCTTTTGTAGTCTTCACAGTGTCTTTTGATCTTGGGCTCCACAGAGTGGCATCTACAGGTCATAGTTGTCAGTGACTCAGGGAGACCAGGAGGTGGCAGGCAAGTGAGGGGAACCCAGAAGTAGCCAGTACCTGTTCAATGCCAGAAAAACCTGGCCAGGACATGCCCTTCAGTATTGAGGGACACAGTGGCAGCTGTGGTGAGAACTGTGGAAACCAGCATAAAGCTGAATTATAAATCAGTATATGTGGTCCAGTACAGACTGCTTCCAGGCTCTCTGTGGTCACAATCACAATTAGAATTGGATTATAATTAAATCCAAGTCTCTCTGAGCATTATATTGTCACAGTCTATCACTGTCTCTAGAGGAGATTAAATAAATATTTTTGGATCTATCATTGATGCATTATCAATGATTTTGTAAAGTAAATTATGAAAACCTAAAAAAATGTCTCCTGGCTATTTATCCTTCACTTGCCAGTCACTATGATTGTCTCTTCCCATTTTCCTGTTCTTCTCAGGGTGTTTCTGGGACCTTCAGTAGAAATTCTCAACTCCAGGTTTTCAGCTGTTTCTGCACAGAGGACATAGTCCTGTCCCAAACTCTCTAGTGTCACACACACACACACACACACACCCCGTCCTGAGACCCCTTCCTTTCTCTCAAGTTTCTGGGATCACATCACATGTCCCAGTGGTTGTACCTCCAGGATTTTGAAGTGTCTCATCTCCTCCTGCTTTCCTAAGGAGAAAGGATGGAGGAAAGGAGCCTGGTCTCTTCAGGATTTTTTTCATATTTAGGCCCTTCTAGCCTGGGAATGAAAGGACACCACACATTAGTGAGCAATTATGGAGGCACCAAGAGACGTCATCCAGCAACTGTGCATGGGAGGGAGGTTCAACAGGAGGACCAAAGAGCCAGATCATAGAAAGGATCACGAGAAAGGAGTGGGGGAGCTAGCAGGTTCCCAGTGGCAAATCAATTACAGAGTAGACCAAATGCCTGCAAGTGTGCAGAGGTTCTGAGCCAGGGGTTATTGTCTTGTGCATCTTCTAGCTACTTTGGATTTACCTTCCCCTACATGACTCCCACAACCTTTAGCTGCTGCACATCTTGTTGAGTGACAACCTGCAATTCTACTCTACTCTGGGCTCCACACTGTGTTGCCCACCCCGTCCTAGTGCCAGAAACATGGAAAATCCCAGCCCAGGGGCTCCCTTGTTCACTCCCATTCTGCCCCTTCACTGGGGTGTGCAGGTGTTAGACCTCTCCTCTGCTCCACAAGTGGGAGCTTCAGGCTTTCCCGACCCTGCCCCCGAGCCTTTGTAGCTGCACCATCTCTAGTGCCTGTCCTCCTGGATCCCAGCGTAGTCTCCACAGCCCTAGATCTTGTCACTCTTTCTGTTGTTCAGAGTTCTTCAAAATCTCCCAACTCATTTTATTGCCTCCAGTCTTGCTCTGACCCAAGCAAGACTTGGGTCAGTGCCCTACAATTGCAGGAATCCTGCTGAAACAAAAATCCACTTTTGTTTCTTTCTTACTTAAAATATTTTAATGACTCACTATTAACCTCAGGATAACACCCAAATTCTTAACCAATTTTCCCAACCCTGTGTGAACAGGACCTTGCACACTTTTCCAATTTTCTCTCTCTCTCCTCTTGCACTAGCCAGTGATTCTGCTTACAGTTTCACAAACATGCTGCAAAGCCTTTCATTTTTTGGTCGGACTAGGTGTTCCCTTTGCTTGGGTCTGCCTAATTCCTGCTTTTTTTTTTTTTTTTTTATACTTGGATTCCTGTTGGAAGTTTAGCCTGCTTTCCTGAAACTGGCTTTGCTCTTCCTCCTTTCTTTTCTCACAGATCCTTTCCTTCCTTCTCAAAGCACTTTTTGTAGTAGCTTCTATTCATCTGGCTCATGTATTTCTTTCTCACTACACTGTAACTTCAGAACATAAATGCCTATGTTTATGCTCCTCACTGTTCTATTTTCAAGGAGGAGCACAGAAGCTGGCATATTCTGGGCCTTCAAGCTGTATTTGTTGGATAGATGAAAAATAGGGATTCTTACAGTAACAATGCACACTGAGAGTGTCTCTCCATAGTGAGAGTTCAAGAGACAACACATACAAATTTAAAAAAAATTTACTTTTAAAATGTGTAACATTAGGTATGACACTAAAAAAGGTGTCCATCTCCCCTACTGGACACCAGGATCAATGAAGACAGCTACACTGGCTTACTTACTTTTCCCTCAAACAGTCTACGTTTGATCCCTGTTTGTTGAAATAGTGATTCACATAAAATGGATGAGAAAATGGAGACACAGAGAAGTGAAGGACTCTGTCTAGAATCACACAGCTGTCAAACTCTCGGGCTTAAGCCATTTCCATGCCTCTGCCTTCCAAAATGCTAGGATTACAAATGTAAGTCACCACACCAGCCAGCATCATATAACTAATTTGTTATTGCTTAAAAAGGAAAAAATGGAAAGTGAGATGATGGAGAATGAAATATGGACAGAGGAAGATGATGGGAAGCTTTGAAGGGCTGCCCTTGACTCTGTGTGTGTGTGCGTGTGTGTGTGCGTGTGTGTGTGTGTGTGTGCATGTGCGTGCCCCTTATTCTCTCTTAAGCTACGTCTAACCTCATAGGGATCACTGGGGTCCCTGTCAGCCACAGCCACACACATCCACAGAAACCTTGACCTATTGACAGATGTAAGAGGGTGGCCTTTGAGAGTTCTGAATCCCTACCTCATAGGATTCTGGATATCTGGACACTTTCTTCTTACGCTGTTTCTGCATCGACCTTAGGGACTGTGTTTGGGGTGTTTCCTGCACTCATCTTGTGATAGAGTTCTATTTGCTCCTCAGATGGCCTCTTTTCCCTTGGAGTGGAACCGTGGCTATCAGGGTCTTGGGCCGAGCATCCATGAGTGACTGTGTGAGTTGCTAGAAGCAATCTTATACTTTCATAGCCACCCCACACTTCACAGTGATACTCATCTCTAAGAAATTATTCAAATTAAGAGAGAAAGCTACACATATAAACAATTTATGGACTTGATTGATTAACATGGAAAAGCATTAACTTTCCAGTTTTCTGCCTCTCACTGGAATTTTATCCCTACACTTTGAACTCATTTCAAACTTCTGGCTTAACTAGGAATTGCTATAGTCAGGCTATTCTAGACAGCTCCTGTGAGCCACTAGGATTCAGAGAATACAACACATCTTTTCCAATTTAAATATGTAGTTCTAGAAAAAAACTATTTTAAGGTCAGGCTTGGTGGCTCATGTCTGTAATCCCAGCACTTTGGGAGGCCGAGGCGGGCAGATCACTTGAGGTCAGGAGTTCGAGACCAGCCTGGCCAACATGGTGAAACCCAGTCTCTACTAAAAATACAAAAAATAAAAATAAAATTACCCAGGTGTGGTGACACATGCCTGTAATCTCAGCTACTTGGGAGGCTGAGGCATAAGAATTGCTTGAACCTGGGAGGTGGAGTTTACAGTGAGCCCAGATCATGCCACTGCACTCCAGCCTGGTGACACAGCAAGACTCCATCTAAAATAATAATAATAAATAAACAAATAAAAAGAAAAAGAAAAAACTATTCTAAAATTCATATGGAACCAAAAATAGCTAAGGCCATCCTAAGCAAAAAGAACAAAGCTGGAGGCATTATGCTATCTGACTTCAAACTATACTGCAGTGCTACAATAACCAAAACAGCATGGTATTGGTACATAAACAGACACATAGACCAATGGAACAGAAAGAGAACTCAGAAATGAGGCTGCACACCTACAGCTATTTTATGTTTGACAAACTTGACAAAAACAAGCAATGGGGAAAGAATTCCTTATTCAATAAATGGTGCTAGGATAACTGGCTAGTCATATGCAAAGATTGAAACGGGGCCCCCTTCCTTACACCATATACAAAAATTAACTCAAGATAGATTAAAGACTTAAATGTAAAACCCAAAACTATAAAAACTCTAGAAGACAACATAGGCAATACCATTCAGGACATAGGAATGGGAAGAGATTTCATGATGAGGACACCAAAAGCAATGACAACAAAAGCAAAAATTGACAAATGGGATCTAGTTAATCTAAAGAGCTTCTGCACAGCAAAGAAAACTAGCAACAGAGTAAATAGACAACCTACCCAATGGGAGAAAAGTTTTGCAAACTATGCATCTGACAGAGATCTAATATCCAGCATCTATAAGGAACTTAAAGAAATTTACAAGAAACAACCCCATTAACAAGTGGGCAAAGGAAATGAACAGACACTTCTCAAAAGAAGAAATACATACAACCAACAATCATATGAAAAAAGCTCATCATTGATTATTAGAAATGCAAATCAAAACCACAATGAAATACCATCTCACACCAGTCATAATGGTTATTATTAAAAAGTCAAAAAATAACAGGTGCTGGCCAGGTTGCTGAGAAAAAGGAACGCTTATACACTGTTGGTGGGAGTGTAAATTAGTTTAACCATTGTGGAATACAGTGTGGCAATTCCTCAAAGACCTAAAAACAGAAATACCATTCAGCCCAGCAATCCCATTACTGGGTATATACCCAAAGGAATAGAAATCATTCTGTTATAAAGACATATACATGTGTATGTTCATTGCAGCACTATTCACAACAGCAAAGACGTGGAATCAACCTAAATGCCTACCAATGGTAGACTAGATAAAGAAAATGTGGTACATATACATCATGGAATATTATGCAGCCATAAAAAAGAACAACATCATGTCCTTTGCAGGAATATGAATGGAGCTGGAGGTCATTATCCTTAGAAAACTAAGGCAGGAATGGAAAACCAAATACCACATATTCTCACTTATAAGTGGAAGTTAGATTATAACACATGGACACAAAGAGGGGAACAACAGAGACTGGGGCCTATTGGAGGCTGGGAGGAGGGCAAGGATTAGGAAAAATAACTAATGGGTACTAGGCTTAATACTTGAGTAATGAAATAATGTATACAATAAATCCCCATGATACAAGTTTACCTATATAACAAACCTGCACACGGACCCCTGAACTTAAAATAAAAGTTAAAAAAACATAAAGGTCTAGCTGGATCAGTGGGCTTCTAGGATCCTTCTTCAGTAATACTGAGGTAAATAGCACAAACCATGAGTTTACTCTTTTCATAATCCATGACACATCACACTTAATATTTGCTGAGTTTAAACAAGTCTCTTAAACACATCACTAGTTTACATCAGCTGTGGAATCTTTGCTTTGTCAATCAGGGGTCAACAAGCCCATCTACACTTGCCATCATTAACTAATGTGCAGGATTGTGTCTTATCAAATCAGCAGCCACCTTCTCTGCCGAGAAGCAAGGAGTATGTCTCCCAGAATCCCCTTCCCTGTATAGTTCCGATTCACATTTTCCAATCAGAGAAACTTGCATGAGATATGGTGCCCAGAAGAGATGGAGAGACAGGCCTCTACCCATCAGTCGTGGCTGCAGGCAGAAGAGTAGGCAGATGTCAGGTTCTCAGTGGCTTCTGTGCTAGGCCAAAGACCCATCTGCTTTGCCTGTGCAGACCGAGATGAATGGTGGGAGCTTTCTCAGAGGTTCTGGAGAATGACAGCAATCTCCCAGCAGGGTTCTAGGAACCTCCCACCTGTGCTTCAGGCTAAGTTCTTCAGCACATGCTTCCCTGACCTCCCAGCTGCAGCCTCCAAGAGCTACAATGGTGACTGGTATTAGTATTCTGTTTCTGCTGTAACAAATTACTGCTATGAAGTGGCTTAAAACAACGCAAATTTATTATCTTACAGTTCTGGAGGTCAGAAGTCTGATATGGGTCTCTCTGGCCTAAAATAAGGGGTCATCAGGGCTGCATTCCTATGGCGGCTCTGAGGGAAAATCTGTTTCCTCACCTTCTCCACTTCTTAAGGCTGCCTGCATTCTTTGGCTCGTGGTTCCTTCCTCCATCTTCTAAAGTCAGCAGTCCCATCACTTTGACCTCTGATTCTGTTGTCACATCTCCCTCTCCAATTCTCACTCTGCTGCTACCTTTTTCACTTATAACGACCATTGTGATTGTATTGGACCTGCCTGAATAATACAGGATAATCTTCCCATCTCATGAGCCTCAACTTAATCACATCTGAAAACTTCCTTTTGTCATATTAGGTGACATTTTCACAAGTTCCAGGGGTTAGGACATAGGCATCTTGGGAGACCTTTATTTTGCCTACAACATGACTTCACCAATATTTGCTCTCCTAGATTTTCCAACATTAGTATAGGCTCTAATTCCTATATTGAACACGTTATTCCTAAAATGTTATACTAGAGTGTGGTGGTTTTCCTGGAAAAAGCTACACTAATACACTTCCTTACCTCAGAAGAGCTCAAAAGTTACCTTTCTATTATCTTTTTTTTTTTTTTTTTTTTTTGAGGGGAGTGTCGCTCTGTTGCCCAGGCTGGAGTGCAGCGGCGCGATCTCGGCTCACTGCAAGCTCCACCTCCTGGGTTCACTCCATTCTCCTGCCTCAGCCTCCCAAGTAGCTGGGACTACAGGCGCCCGCCACCATGCCTGGCTAATTTTTTTTTTTTTTTTTTTTGTATTTTTAGTAGAGATGGGGTTTCACCGTGTTAGCCAGGATGGTCTCCATCTCCTGACCTCGTGAACCGCCTGCCTCGGCTTCCCAAAGTGCTGGGATTACAGGCGTGAGCCACCGCGCCCGGCCTACCTTTCTATTATCTTAAAGTCTCCAAATGGTACCACCATCTCAAGGTGCAATGGCTGTAATTTAAGCAACGACTTTGCGGGGGTGATGGAGGGAGACAAAAAGAAATGACTGGAAAGCACTTCTGATTCCATGCCCTGTCCCTGGTGTCTGGCCGTCTTGGACTCTAGGCTGCAGTTTCTCTCCTACATAAACCCAGTCATTTCTGAGTCTCCAAGAGTGTTTTATAGGATTCATGTCCACTTCTTGGCTCTGTCATCTTCTCTCTACCTTGTCTTATAGCTCCGCGCTTACATTTTCTTCTCACCTACTGCTGTAGTCCTGCCTTGATTCTTCAGCCATTGCCCTCTTTTCACCTTGTGTATGCTTAAGCCAATTCTCCAAGAAGAAATTCCAGATGGCTCTTTATTGCTGTTTGTTTGTTACTATTTTTTATTTGGCTGAAGAGTTTTCAAGATTCTTAACTTTCTATTTTTAAAATTTTAGTGTACAAATAATACATGCTCAGAGTTGGAAATGAAATCATCACAATATGTATAAATATATTTTAAAATATCTTCTATCTCTAAATCTATGCCCACTTTACTAAGGTAATTTATGTTATCAATCTACTCTCTATGTGTCTACTTTCTCCATTTTCATACAAACATAGGCACCTATATTAAGTGTTGAGTGTTTTTACTTTGTAGCTTTTTTTTAGCAAAAGTCCTCAAATTTTATTTGTAGTTTAATCATTTTACAACAACTTGAGATATAATTTACATATCATAAAATTCACACATTCATTATATACAAGTCAGTGGTTTTTAGTATATTCACATAGTTGTGCCAACATTATCATTATCAATTCCAGAACATTTTCATCACCCCACAAAAAACCCCATACCCATTGGCAGCCACTCCTCATTTCCTCTCAACTCCCCTAGCCCTAGGCAGCCACTAACCTGTGTTCCATATCTACAGATTTGCCTATTCTGGAAATTTCACGTAAGGGAAATTATACGATATGTGGCCTTTCGTGTCTGGCTTCTTTCACTTACCGTAACATTTTCATGGTTCGTCTGGGTTGTAGCATGTGGCAGTACTTCACGTCTTTTTTATTACTGAATAATATTTCATTGTATGGATATATCACAATTTGCCTATTCATTTATTAGTTGATGGACATTTGGGTTCTTTCTATTTTGTGCTATTATTAATAATGCAGCCGTAAGCATTTGCGTATAGGTGTTTGTGTGGACAGATGTTTTTGTTTCTCTTGGGTATGCTGTATACCTAGGAGGGGATAGCTGGGTCATATGCTAACTTAGTGTTTGACATTTTGAGGAAGTGCTGGCCTGTTTTCTAAAGGGGCTTCACCTCTTTATATTCCCACCAGCAGTATATGAAGCTTCCAGTTTCTCTGCATCCTCATCGGTGTTCATTATTATCTTTTTATTGTAGCCATTCTAGTGGGTGGTTACAACTAAGGGAAAAAATCAAACTTTAAAGAATTAACTTAGTTTTATTTGGAAATCTTACTGAGGACTATAGACGGAGGCCTACAACCCAAGAACAGCCCTTTAGAGAGGCTCTATCAGACTGTACCAGCTCAGTATTTCAGCCCACTGCTTATATTATAGGTGTTCTGTATTGCAACATCACATCACACTTGGTAAGAAGTTACATTAAAGCAGAATCACATCAAAGTTTGGAAGCAGGAATACGTCCAGTGTAGATTACAGAAGCATGATCACTATGCCCGTCAGACATTATCTTATGTGCAGGGAAAAGCAAGGGCATTCATCTTTTAAGGAATATAGTGGCTTAGGCAAGAGACGTTGGGGGCTGTGTGCTTTATCCTGTTTTGTCCTCAAAGCATCTTTCCAGAGAGTTGCACATCCTCACGATGAACTAGGAGGATGTGCAACTCTCACAGGGACTTTGTGAAATTATGCTGGCAAGTAAAAGTCAGCTTCTGACATTTACTACTTTGTCTCACAGTGTGAAATACTATCGCATTGTAGGGCCGATTTGCATTTTCCTGATGGTTAATGATGTTGAACATGTTTCCACGTGCTTATTGGCCTTTTGTATATTTTCACTGGAGAACTGTAAATCCAAATCCTTTATTTTTAAATTTGATTATTTGCCTTTTTACTATTGAGTTATAACCGGTTTTATATATTATAGACAAAATTTTCTCTTTTACCATATGTATGATTTGCAAAAATTTTCTCCCATTCTGTGGGGTTTTTTTTTTTCACTTTCTTGATGGCATCTGTAAACATACAAAAGTTTTTAAATGCGATGACGTCCAGTTTATCTTTTTCTTCTTTTTTTGCTTATGCTTTTGGTGTCACATTTAAGATTAGGTGCCTTTACTTAATCCAAAGCCATGAAGATTTATGCCTATGTTTTATTTTCTTTCTTTCTTTCTTTTTTCTTCTTCCTCTCTTCCTCCCTTCCTTCCTCCCTCCCTTCCTTCCTTCTTTCCTTCCTTCCTTCCTTACTTTCTTTCCTTTTTTTTCCTTGAGACACAGTCTCACTCTGTCACCCAGGCTGGAGTGCAGTGGTGCAATCACGGTTCATTGCAGCCTCAACTTCCTCAGGCTCAAGTGATTCTCCCACCTCAGCCTCCTGAGTAGGTGAAACTACAGGTGCATGCCACCACACCCGGCTAAATTTTGTATTTTTTGTAGAGACAGGGTTTTGCCATGCTGCCCAGTTTGGTCTACCAACTCCTGGGCTCAAGCAATCTGCCCACTTTGGCCTCCCAAAATGCTGGGATTACAGACATGAGCCATCGTGCCTGGCCTGTTTCCTTCTAAGAGTTTTCTAATGTTAACTCTTTCACTTAGGTCTTTGATACATTTTGAGCTACTTTTTATATATAGTTTCAAGATTTTCATTTTTCATTTTTCATTCATTGATACTGTATAGAAACACAATTGATTTTTATATTTTGATTTTGTATCCTGCCAATGTGATAAAATTCTTTAGTTGTAATGCTTTTTTAAAGTAAATTCTTTTGGATTTCTATGTATAAGATCATATCATCTGTAACGAAGGTAGTTTTACTTCTTTCTTTTCAATTCAGATGAGCTTTATTTTATTTTCTTGTTCATTGTAGCAAAAAATTCAACTATTCTATTTATAATGCCCTGTTACTTGATGTTTTTTATTTATATTGTGAACATCTCACCAATTTCATAGAGAAAGCTTGAGCTCATCATTTTAAACCCTAATTCCATAGTATTTTGCATGCAACTGCTTCTCTAGTGTAAATATTCAGATGGTTTCCTTTAGTTGTCACTACACTGAATGTCCACTGCACAGACATCTTTACACACATATCCTTACAGCCATCCCAGAGTTTTCTGATTTCCCACAGCACTACATGATAGTGGTTAATCTGATGATCTAACTGACTAGCTAGGCAGACTGACTGACTGACAATCCCATTGCTTCTGTATATAAAGTCAGTAACTACATTTGGAACTCAGCTTCTCTAGGCCCAGCCACGCTTACTTTCCTAGTCTTAGAGGTTCCCTCTCTGCCTCTAAATTTCTCTGTCCCTGAAACCACCCTTGTACTCCAGCCCAAGAGCGCTTGCAAACAGGTAGAAGGTATCATCTGGAGAAGGTAAGTAAGAGACTTATCTCCATTCCCTTCATATCTAATTACCAAATCTTCCATCTAGCTCAGTCAGGTTGAGTTGAAAACATCTTGACTTTAGTCATTTAGCCACTGAGCACATCATAGCTCTTTTCATACCTCAGTCTTATTCAAATATTTAATTTATCAAGCTCACTTATAAATGCCAAGCCTCTCATTTGGCCACCTCTGACCCTACAGCTCCAAAGCCCCTCCCATTTTGAGAACATGCTCTTGCCAGGCCAGTCTCCTCATTGCCCCCTGATTATCCATCACTCTGTCCGTTTCTGCGCCTTTGCTCATTCTGAACTTCTTGTCAATTCTCAAGTGTCAGCAGCCACCTCTAGTTGCAACAGAGTGGACTTTGCTTAATCTTATTGCCCTCTCAACCTCTCTAGGGCATTCTATAGGTAGAATCCTCCTTTTTGTGGTCCCTAAGTTGGCCTGGATATTACACTCTAAAGTCTAGAATGCAGTCATGCCAAATCCCACGGAGAACCTTTTATAAGTAACTATTTCTGGCCCTCTCCTAGGCCTACAGAATCAATCTCCGGAAGCAGAACACTTCACTCTTAAAAATTCTTGGGGGATTGTGAGCAGCTAGTCAATGGATCTGGGGTTGGTGTCCACCATACCACACTCCAAGTCCTCCTAGTTTCTGCTTTCCTCAGTCAGTTAATCTGCGAGCTACCTTGCTTCTCATCCTCTCTTCTGTGAGAGGTCAGGCACCATGTTCTGGCAGTTTTCCCAAACATTCCTCTACATTCTTAGCCCCACTGGTCTCCCCTCACTTATGGACCTTTTATCATTTTATCTAACGGATAAAGGTTTGTGTTTATGTTCTTGCTTATGCTTCCTTCCATCCCTTCCAAATTTTAACCTTCGTATATGCATTTATTTAACAAGTATTGACAGCTTACTAATTGGAGGAATTGCATTAGGTGCTATGATTCAATTTCCCCAAACATGTTTTTCATATTCTTATATGTATTTAAAAAACCACTGCATCGGGGTGACAGAATAAGGTTTTAAAATTCTAATATTAGACTGTCCACTACATTGTCTCAGTCTATCTTTCTGTTCAGTCAGTTAATTATTAGGATAAGAAGATACCATCAATCTGATTTTTCCCCCATATTTTTAAAGGAGAGGAGAGAGAACAATTTGGAAGGTCAAGAAGTTGGTATGCCCAGGAGCTCACAACTCTCACCTTTGGGGTTTTATGGAATATTTTTAGGCCTTATTTATTTATTAGTAAAAAAAAAAACAGAATAATGAGTTCTTCTCTGACAACTGTACAGGATTGTAAGGATCAAGTGTGTTTATGTGTATGAAGCACCATGAATATTATATATAATGTAATTGCAATAGAATATATATAGAAGTAGAAATCATATTTTGAAATAACAAGTGGCAGAAATATATATTGAAAAATATTAGTGGAGGATGTCACAAAGTTTGAGTTACTTGTTTTTCATTTCATTTTAAAATAAGCATATCTGAGTATGATGAGTTCTAAGGATTCCTTTCAGGGCAAAAATTGAGGCTACCCCATTGCAGTTGTCCAGTCTTTCCACAGGATGGCAAAGTATAGCCAGTATTTCTTTGAAATGTTTGCTTGCTTATGCCACTAAATTTTGAACTTAGCCTTCTAGAAATGAGTTTATAACTTATCTTTCTTGAAGGTAATCTCAGAGTACCTATGAAAAGACATCTATAAAATACTTTTGCAAAAATACCTAATACATCAAATGTGTGCTCACCACATCTCATCAAAGCAAAGTGTAAAACGTTCTCAGGGACCTGTAGAGCTAAAATGTCACCTTCTATGTTCAAGATATATGTTGAATTCTATGTCCGATTTCTTCTCATTATTGGACTTAATTCTGTAAAACATGAGGCTTGAACTTTTCATGAACTGATTGGTGCATCCTCTGCTTAATTGATTCTTCCCATTTGACTTGGAGGATGGTGTTGGCCAGAGGTCCTTTTTTGCGGAGGCCTTTAAAGATATTTATTCAGAAGAATGTACCACATGAGGCATTTGACTAATAAAAACACTGTTATTAACACTGACAATAAGCAAACACATATTTCTTTAGCTGTCTTGCAATTGGTACATTCTCCTCTTCCCATTGAGGAAGTATCTGCTCTACCCTTGCTTCAGATTAAACATTTTGAAACTCTCAGTTTTAACATTATTGAGCCTTACTATTATTGAAATAATTCTTTTCCCAAAACACCAGACTACACTCAAACTCCAGAAGATGCCCCTAACCAAGACTAATATTCTGACATCAAAGGAAATCTGTGGATAAGATATTGGGAACTTCTGAAAAATTTTAGTAGGGCTATGCCTAGAGAATTTTCATGATCTTAACAAATCTTGCTCATTCAGCAAGTCCTTAGAGAGCCTTCATGGGAACCTATGAAAAAGAAAGTCCTCAATGTATTACATGGAAAATAACGATAGCAACAACTATAATAATAATAGTGGCTGCATTTAAAGGGCACTTGCTGTATTCCAGGCATTGGCTTAAGTACCTACATAAGTTATTTTGTTCAGTATTTATCACAACCATATGAAAAAAATGTTCTTATCCACAATAAAGAAATGAAGTTTAGGCTGGGTGTTGTGGCTCACACCTGTAATCCCAGCACTTTGGGAGGCCGAGGAGGGCGGATCACCTGAGGTCAAGAGTTCGAGACAAGCCTGGCTAACATGGTGAAATCCTGTCTCTACTAAAAATACAAAATTAGCTGGGCTTGGTGGCGGGTGCCTGTAATTCCAGCTACTTGGGAGGCTGAGGCGGGAGAAACACTTGAACCCGGGAGGCAGAGGTTGTGGTGAGCTAAGATTGCACCATTGCACTCCAGTCTGGGCAAAGAGAGCAAAACTCTGTCTCAAAAGAAAGAAAGAAGGAAGGAAGGAGGGAGGGAGGGAAGGAAGGAAGGAAGGAAGGAAGGAAGGAAGGAAGGAAGGAAGGAAGGAAGGAAGGAAGGAAGTCAAGAAGTCTACAAAGTATAGGTAACTTGCTCAAGAAAATTAGGTTCAGAAAGTTTAAGTAACTTGCCCAGGGTAACACAATTATGAAGATTTGAGGCCAGAATTCAGTTCCAGGCAGTTTTGTTCTAGATCTATTGCTCTTCAGCCACTATAGTGTCATGCCAAGACTGGCCTAAAGTCGTGTCTTCTGCTCAAACAGGTCCTTCTATGGCAATGACCATGAAATACATGGCTAATAAAGTATTAGGGGCAGGAAGAGGGGGAAGAAGAATGCAGTATTTGAGACTATGGTTACTGACTATATTTAAAATCACAGTTTCATGACTATTAAGGTTCTTTTTAAACTTTTCTCCCTGATGTATCATGGTATCCAGGTGAAAGAGGATCTGGCTCCCTACATCCCAGGACGTGTAGAACTGTCCATGGTTCTGAAAGACAAACTAGCAGGTCCCACCACCTTTACAAATGGCAATCTTACTGTGGAAAACTGCACTAGTGAAAACTCTACATATGACTTTGTACATGCATCACTTACAAGGATTCAGCAATCCTTGGAAAGATGACATAGAAAGACCCACAGAATATTCCCTTTATATGCCCTATACTAAAATGTACAAAGCAAAATCAAATTAGACAACACTATGATTTAGAAGTTTATCTTGAAATTTTAGATCAGAATGTAAAGAAAAGAAATCCAGCATTATTGTATGGACAAGAGAGAATGGATATAGATTTTAACTAACTATATATTCCCTCAAAACTCATATGCTGTCCTTTTTAACCTCACCTTAATTTAAATTTAACCACACATTTACTTTCATTTTTGATTTTTATTTTGTATTTATGTTTTCTTTTATCTTGTATCTTCCAACCAGGATTTCGCCTTTTGCCTGAAGCATATTCTTTAGAACTCCCTTCAGTAAAAGCGTGTTTGTGTCAAATTGTCTTTGCTTGGAAAAAATCCATTGAGACTTGATTTTTATATTATCATGTATTTCATTTCTAAATGTTTTATATTTGTCTTTTCAATTTTTCCTGAACATTATTTGTAGTTTCTGATTAACTGGAAGTCTTTTAAAGCCTGTTTTTTAATCACAGGAAGCAGGGCTATTTTATGTCTTATTCTTATTATTCTGCTGTATGGTGTTTCTGCTTGATCTTTCATGGTGACTTGTATCTTGTAAATAGTTTTGTTGTTGTTTTCCTGGTAAGTGCTCATTTTGCTTATGGAATAATTTTAGGAAATTTTAAGTGTGGTTGATGACATCTTCCTCCAGAGAGGATTTGTGTTTGTTTTGCGTGTTATTTGCGTTTGTTTTTTGACAGGTTCCTTGGAGCCTGGCCCACTATAAACTGAATTCACAACTTGATGATTGCCAGACAATCCAGGTAGTGAGAACTTGGGCTGCAAATACATGTGTGGGGCCATTATGTTTACTCCCAGTTCCACTCAGCACCAAGGCAGCTGTTCCTGCAGTCCTTTGAGCATGGGGCATTTCTCTTACACCGAGGAACTGAACTTAGGGGTCCCAGCAAAATGGAGGAGATCATCCTAGGAGATTTCCCACTTTGAGTGCTACTTGAGACTTGCCTCCTATTCCAAATTCCTTATGAGGCCATGGAAACTAAAGCTTAACTTGTCTACATTGAGCAAATGAGCTCAGGATAAAAGTAAATTCAGAGCTTCCTGATATTTATTAGACAGTTTTCACTGATGTGAAAGCCTCTCAGTGCTTTTATGATGTATTTTATCTTTTGATAACCCATTTTTTGTTAGCATGAGAGTAGGCGTAGATACCTAATATGCCACATTAGTGGTTCACACCTTATCCTTAAAGCTCCTTATCACAAACCTTCCCATCTTGTTCCTTTGAAGTCATTGAATACCTGAGCAAACTATTAGTCACTACCCATGCATTGATGAGGATCTAACAATAAGATATTTCTTTAGGCAAAATGAACTTCCAGATGGTCTGATTGAAAATCTTCCTGCTGGAGGTACTTTCCTTTCCACTCTTCTTTATGACAATTCCTAAAAAGGGCTGTAATGCTGCAAAGTACACTTTTGGGTATTCAAAGCATATTCAAATTTCTTCTTCTATAGTCAACAGTCCTTAGGGAACTCCTCAAGACCCCAAGGATGAGACAAGGGAGAGTGGATTTACCAGTGGTAATAAGAATACTAGGAATATAGTACATATTATGAGGCAACTTAGCTGGCCTTGCTAAGGACCAGCTCAGGTCTGATACTGTATGTATATACAGTATATATATCCACTTCCTCCTGAATGCTCACTGAGTGCTGGTGACCATAAGTGAATAAATAAAATCCAGGTCATGGTGGACATCTCAAGTCACTTGGTCATTTGCTGTATCATGATCATGGCATTCAGAATCTACCAGGGCTCAGTAGCAAGCCAGGAACTGTTATTTAGTAGAAGAATAAAGAATAAAGCTTTTCTTCGAAGCCCTGGAACTTGAGCAGTGAGCTCCTATGCCTGTTTCACACACACACACACACACACACACACACGCGCACACACACACACACGCGCGCACACACACACACACACACACACACACACACACATATCCAAGGAAGCATTTAGGCCAAATGGCAGATATGTTTGATGCCTGCCTGGATCAGAATGACATTTCCATTTCTTATGGAATGTTTTGAACTTGTACTAACTTACCGGATTTTGGTGCAGAGAAATCCCCTCACAAGATAAGAAATCACATTTTTTCTTTGTTGAAATTATTTATCTTCATTAACGTTTAATAACACCGGTGCAGTTATTTTTCAAAGAGCTTGTACTCCAATCTTGGAGGAATTCCTTGAGTTGAAAAGCCCAGGGCCTGAATAATGAGGGAGTCTCATTTCCAACAGCTTCCAATCAGCTGTAGGATTGAATGAAGACACATGTGATTGCATGATTTTAAGAGAGGGTAGGGGAGAGGGGCAGTGCTTGTTTCACACTTAACTGAACTACTTCCTTGGCCTCCACTCAAATTTAACTGCAGCATTGGTGACTTGATTTACAGAGTCAGAAATTTCCTAGGTATGGAATGTGCTGTCTTAAATAGTAATGAGTCCAATCTATGTAGAGTGTCCTTCTTTATCATTGGGGGTCATATGAAGTCAGCGATTCTTTTAGAAATTTGGGGTTACAAACAGAAGGCCTCAACTTACTTCAATTTGAAAAACCTGAACAAGGAATCTCTGGTGTCTGGATCCTTATTTGTCTCACAAAATTGAATTGTGAGCTGTGACATTTTCTCCCAAAAGTCTCTTTTAGGACAGAACTTCTGGTAATGGCAACATGAACAGGTAGATCAGCAAGTCTTCCTCTAAATAGCAATATGAGAACTGGACAAAATCATAAAAATAAATATTTGAAGTCACTGGAAAACAAACAAAGGCGAGCAGAAATGTAATAGTGCTTTGATCTTGAGACTATCTATTGGGTAAAAGCTGCAAGTTGGTGGCCTTTCCTCCTTACCTATGAGTTTGCTCCAAACTCCCAGCAGGTAACTGCAGCCCTAATGGATCAATAGGGCAGTTTATAGAGTTAAAAGCCCAAATAAGCTAAAAATGTTTACATTTTTACATGTTTACATCAGTCAGGCAATTTTGAAAGAGATCTGCTGAAGAATTCAGATTCAAAATCTGAATACAAACTATGCTCACATCCCTGGTTGAACACTAAACTCCCCATGGGTGTGGGACACTCAGGGGAACCTGGGGAAAAATCAGAAAGAACCTAGAGTGAGGTCTACCCTTGAAAGAGTGAAATAATCCTGGCAATATCTGAAAGTCTGCAGTAACATAGACTGCTTGCATTTGTCAACCTGCATACAACACAGGCAGAAGAAAGCAAAAATCTTACTGGACTGAGGGGTGAAAAGGCAGGATGCAGGACAATTTAGAGGGGATTCCAGAAGCAAAACAAACACAGAGAAGCTGAATTGCAAAATCTTAGCAGAAATAGCCCCAGTACTTGTTAGTCCATGTTGTGTTGCTATAAATACCTGAGAGTGGGTAATTTATAAAGAAAAGAGGTTTATTTGGCTCATGGCTATATAGGTTGTACAAACATGGCACCAGCATCTCTTCAGCTTCTGGTGAGACCTCAGGAGCCTTTTACTCCTGGTGGAAGGGGAAGGGGGACCAGGCATGTCACATGGCAAAAGAGGAACAGGGTGGGAGGAGCCAGATTCTTCTAAACAACCAACTCTCTTTCAAAATAATAGAGCAGGGGCCGGATGTGGTGGCTCATGCCTGTAATCCCAGCACTTTGGGAGGCCGAGGCGGGTGGATCACGAGGTCAGGAGTTCGAGACCAGCCTGGCCAATATGGTGAAACCCCATCCTTACTAAAAATACAAAAATTAGCTTGGCATGGTGGCATGTGCCTGTAGTCCCAGCTACTCAGGAGGCTGAGGCAGAAGAATCACTTGAACCCAGGAGGTGGAGGTTGCAGTGAGCCAAGATCGCACCACTGCTCTCCAGGCTGGGCAACAGAGCGAGACTCTGTCTCAAAATAATAATAATAATAATAATAATAATAATAAAGCGAAGAGAACTTACTTATGACTGTGGGGAGGGCACCAAGCCATTCATGAGGGATCTACCCCCATGACCCAAACAGCTTCCACTAGGCCCCACCTGCAGCATTGGGGATTACATTTCAACATGAGGTTTGGCAGGGACAAATATTACAAAGATGCAGAGTAGACACCCAGAGCCCCCTGCTGAAAATGCAGCAACTGGATATCGGTAAACAGAGCAGAGACATCAGCTGTAGCCAACTGCAGGGGTAACAGATTTCACAGTTACCAGTGCAGGGAAAGTTAACCACGTTCACTGAGGGGCAGGGGTGGTGGTGGTGGGAGAATTGCCATCTTTAGAGAGATTGTTGTAGATTCCAGACTCTCTAAAACAAAACATATAATGTCCACTTTATCAAATAGGATCAGACATAGAAAGAAAAGAAAGAAATGTGTGACTATAATAAGGAGGAAATTAAAAATAAATGGGTTTCAATGGGTCCAGATATTGAAATTATCAGCAAACTCTTTAAGACAGTTTTGAAAAATATGTGGAAAGAAATGAAGGAAATATCATTTCTAAAGAGTGAATAGAAGTAATTGCAGCAGAGAAATGAAAACTATAGATGGTACTAAGTGGAAATTCTCAAACTGGATAGAAAAATAATGACAGTGCTCTGGATGAGGTCAACAGAAGTTTTGAGATGGCAGAATAAAGAATCAGTCAGTGTCCTTGAATATAAATCAACAGAAATTGTCTAATCTAAAAATAAAAAAGAGTGAAATAAGATTAAAGAAAAGTGAAGAAAACTTCACAAACCCTCAGAAAATATAAAGCAGGTAAACAGGTGACCAATTGGAGTCCCAAAAGAAGATAGACACAGGATCAGAAAAAAAATTCAAAAAAATCTATGGCTGAAAGATTCCCAAATTTGATGAAGAATTTTAGCTTATAGATGTAAGACACTCATCAAAGCTGAATACCCACATAGAAAATCATAGGTAGAGTGGCCATGGCCTTGGCTGGCCTGAGGGTGTGTCGCTAGCCCTGCTGCATGTGGTGTGGTGCAGGGTGCCAGTGCCTGGTGGGACCAGAGAGCTCCCAGCACAGCCTTTGGGCAGGTGGGACCGCCGATCATTTTAAAATAATTTTTTATTGATTTAACTTATATTTTGAGTTCAGGCATACATGTGCAGGTTTATTATATAGGTAAACTTGTATCATGGGGTTTGCTGTACAGATTATTTTGTTACCTAGGCATTAAGCCTAGTACCTATTAGTTACTTTTCCTGATCCTCTCCCTCCTCCCAGCCTCCACTCTCTGGTAGGCCCCAGTGTGTGCAGTTCCCTTCTATATGTCCATGTGTTCTCATCATTTAGCTCCCACTTATAAGTGAGAACATGTGGTATTCGGTTTTCTTTTCCCGCATTAATTTGCTAAGGATAATGGCCTCCAGCTCCATCCATGTTCCGCAAAGGACAAGAACTCATTCTTTTTTATGGCCACATAGTATTCCATGATGTATATGCACTACATTTTCTTAAAAGAGAGCAGGAGTGGCTATTCTTATACAAAACAAAAACAGACTTTAAAGCAACAACAGTAAAAAAAAAAAAAAAGACAAAGAAGGACATTATATAATGATAGAATGATAATTCCAACAAGAAGATATCACAGTCCTAAATTTATATGCACCTAACAGTGGAGCTCCCAGCTTTATAAAACAGTTACTACTAGACTTAAGAAATGAGATAGACAGCAAGACAATAATAGCAGGGGACATCAATACTCCACTGATAGCTCTAGACAGATCATCAAGACACAAAGTCAACAAAGAAACAATGATCTTAAACCATATCCTACAACAAATGGACTTAACAGATATTTACAGAACATTTCTTCCCAGTAACTGTAGAATATACATTCTTCTCATCAGCACATGGAACATTCTCCAAGATAGACCATATGATAGACCTCAACACAAGTCTAAACAAATTTAAGAAAACTGAAATCCTATAAAGTATCTTCACAGACCAGAGTGGAATAAAACTGGAAATCAACTCCAAAATGAAACTTAAAAACTGTATGAGTACATGGAAATTAAATAACCTATTCTTGGATGATTTTTCAGTTAACAATGAAATCAAGATGGAAATTTAAAAATTCTCTGAAATGAATGATAATAGTGTCACAAGTAATCAAAATCTCTGGGATATAGCCAAAGCAGTGAAAATAAGAAAGTTCATAGCAATAAGTGCTGACTTAAAAAAGCCTGAAAGAGCCCGGGCACAGTGGCTTATGCCTGTAATCCCAGCACTTTGAGAGGCTGAGGCAGGTGGATCAGTTAAGGTCAGGGGTTTGAGACCAGCCTGACCAACATGGTGAAACCTTGTCTCTACTAAAAATACAAAAATTAGCTAGGCGTGGTGGCACGCGCCTTTAATCCCAGCTACTCAGGAGGCTGAGGAAGGAGAATCACTTGAATCCAGGAGGTCGAGGTTGCAGTGAGCTGAGATTGCGCCACTGCACTCCAGCCTGGGCAACAGAGTGAGACTTCATCTGGGAAGGAAAAAAAAAATCTGAATAAGCACAAATTGAAAACCTAATGTCACACCTCAAGGAACTGGAGAGATAAAAACAAATGAAACCCAAAGCCAGCATAAAAAAGAAATAATAAAGATCAGAGCAGAAATAAATGAAACTGAAACAAAAATAATACAAGAGATAAATGAAAAAAAAGTTGGGTCTTTGAAAAGGTAAACAAAATCAATAGACCATTGGTGAGGTTAACCAAGAAAAGGAGAGAAGATCCAAATAAGCTCAATTAGAAAACAAACTGGAGATATTACAACTAATACCACAGAAACACAAAAGTTAATTCAAGGCTACTATGAACACCTTTACACACACCAGCTAGAAAATCTAAAAACTGATAAATTCCTGGAAACATACAACCCTCCTAGACTAAATCAGGAAGAAATAGAAATCATGAGCAGACCAATAACAAGCAGTGAGACTGAAACAGTAATAAAAAAAACTGTCAACAAAAAAAAGCCTAGGACCAGATGGGTTCCCAGACAAATTCCATTAGACATTCAAAAAATTGGTACCAATCCTACTGAAACTATTCCAAAAGATAGAGAAAAAGGGAATCCTCCCTAAATCATTCTATGAAGACAGTATCACCCTAATGCCAAAAGTAGGAAAGGACATAACAAAAAAGAAAAATACAGACAAATATCCCCAATGAACATACATGCAAAAATGTTCAACACAATACTAGCTAACCAAATCCAGTAGCCTATCAAAAAAATAATACACCATGTTGAAGTGGGTTTCATCCCAGGGATGCAGAGATGGTTTAACATATGCAAGTCAATAAATGTGATACACCACATAAACAGAATTAAAAACAACAATCATATGATTATCTCAATAGATGCAGAAAAAGCATTTGATAAAATCTAGCATTGCTTTATGATAAAAACCTTCAACAAAATAGGCATAGAAGGGACTTACCTCAAAGTCATGAAAGTCATATATGACAAACTCACAGCCAACATCATAGTGAATGGGGAAAAGTTGAAAGCATTCCTCCAAGGACTGAAACAAGGCAAGGATGCCCACGTGCACCACTTCTATTCAACACAGTATTGCAAGTTCTAGCCAGAGCAATCAAGCAAGAGAAAGAAATAATGGGCATCCAAATTAGAAAAGAGGAAGTCAAACTGTCCCTGTTCACTGATGATATGATCGTATACCTAGAAAATACTAAGACTCATCCAAAAGACCCATAGATCTGATAAACAAATTTAGTAAAGTCTCAGGTCACAAAATCAATGTACACAAATCAGGAGCATTGCTATACACCAACAACGACCAAGTGAGAATCAAATCAAGAACTCAATCCCTTTTACAACAGCTGCAAAAACAAACAACAACAACAACAACAAAAACCTCCAAAAAAACAACACCCCCCAAAACCTAGGAATATACTTAACCAAGGAGGTGAAAGATCTCTGCAAGGAAAACTAAAAAACACTGCTGAAAGAAATCATAGATGACACAAACACATGGAAACACATCCCATGCTCATAGATGAATAGAATCAATATTGTGAAAATGACCATACTGCCCAAAGCAATCTATAGATTCAGTGCAATTTTCATCAAAATACCATCATCATTCTTCACAGAACTGGAGCAAACAACCCCAAAATTCATGTGGAACCAAAAAAGAGCCCACGTATCCAAAGCAATACTAAGCAAAAATAACAAATCTGGAAGCGACCCATTAACAGACTTCAAGTTACACTACGAGGCTATCGTTACCAAAACAGCATCATACTGGTATAAAATAGGCACTTCAGCTGGGCACGGTGGCTCACGCCTGTAATCCCAGCACTTCGGGAGGTAGAGGCAGACAAATCACCTGAGGTCAAGAGTTCGAGACTAGCCTAGCCAACATGATAAAACACCATCTCTACTAAAAATACAAAAAAAATTATCTGGGCGTGGTGGTGGGCACCTGTAATCCCAGCTATTTAGGAGGCTGAGGCAGGAGAATCACTTGAACCTGGGAGGCAGAGGTTGCAATGAGCTGAGATCGTGCCATTGCACTCCAGTCTGGGCAACAAGAGTGAAACTCCATCTCAAAATAAGATAAAATAAAAAATAGGCGCTTAGACCAATGGAATGGAATAGACAATCCAGAAATAAAGCCAGATGCCAACAGCTAACTGATCTTTGACAAAGCATACAAAAACATAAATTGGGAAAAGCACATCCTATTCAATAGAGAGTGCTGGGAAAACTGGCAAGCCACATATAGAATGAAACTGTATCTCCATCTCTCACTTTATATAAATGTCAACTCAAAATGGATCAAAGACTTAAACCTAAAACCTAAAACCTAAAACCATAAAAATCTTAGAAGATAACATGATAACATTAAAAAACTCTTCTGGACATTGGCTTAGGCAAAAAATTCATGACTAAGACCCCGAAAACAAACACAACAAAAATAAAAATAAATAAATGAGACCTGGTTGAATGATAAAGCTTCTACACAGCAAAAGAAATAATCAGCAGAGTAAACAGACAACCCACACAGTAGGGGAAAATATTCACAGACTATACATCCAACAAAGGACTAATATCCAGAATCTACAAGGAACGCAAAGAAATCAGCAAGAAAAAAAACAAATAATCCCATCAAAAACTGGGCAAAGGACATGAATTGACAGTTCTCAAAAGAAGATATACAAATAGCCAACAATCATGAAAAATTGCTCAAGATAACTAATCATCAGGGAAATGCAAATTATAAGTACAAGATACCACCTTACTCCTGCAAAAATTAAAAAATTTTTAAAAACCACAGTAGATGTTTGTGTGGATGTGGTGAAAAGGGAACACTTTTGCACTGCTGGTGGGAATGTAGATTAGTAAAACCACTTTGGAAAGCAGTATGGACATTATTTAAAGAACTGCAAGTAGATCTACCATTCAATCCAGCAATCCCACTGCTGGATATCTACCCAAAGGAAGTCATTATATGAAAACGACACATGCACGTGCATGTTTACAGCAGCACACTTCACGATTGCAATGACATGAAAACAAAGTAAGTGTCCATCGACCAACAAGTGGACAAAGAAAATGTGGTATATGTACACCATGGAGTATTACTTAGCCATAACAAGGAACAAAATAATGTGTTTTGCAACAACCTAGATGGAGATGGAGGCCATTATTCTAAGTGAGGTAACTCAGGAATGGAAAACCAAATACTGTATGTTCTCACTTATAAGTGGGAGCTAAGCTAGGAGGATGCAAAGACATATAGAGCGATATAATGGACTTTGGGGACTCAAGGGACAGGCTGAGAGGGGAGTGAGATAAAAGACTACATATTGGGTACAGTGTATATTGCTTGGGTGACAGGTGCACTAAAGTCTCAGAATTCACCACTAAAGAACTCATCCATTAAACCAAAACCCACCTGTACCCCAAAAAACTATTGAAATAAAATAAAACTTCATAGGGCAAACAACAACAAAAACAACAACAACAAAGAAAATAAATAAATCATACAAAAAATATTTAAGATCTCTGAAATCCAAGACACTAGAAATCAAGAGACACTGTGGAAAGAGTACATAGAAGACCTAAATAAATAGATCCCCTGTTCATGGGGAGCAAGATTTAACATTGTTAAAATGCAACACTCCCCAAATTAACCCAGAGATTTAAAAAAAAACTAACAAAATTCTAGGAGGCTTTTTGATAGAAATTTATGAGCTGATTTACAAATTTATATGAAAACATAAAAGGTCTAGAATAACTCATGCAATTTATTTTTTAAAAATTTTAGAGAAAGAGTCTTTCTATATTACCCCATGTTGGCTTCTAACTTCTGGGCTCAAGGGATCCATCCACCTCAGCCCCCAGGTAGCTGAGACTACAGTCATGCACTACCATGTGCAGCTAATTTTTCATTTTTTTTCAGGACAAGTTTTGCTATGTTGTCCGGGTTAGTCTTGAACTCCTGGGCTCAAGGTGTCCTCCCATCTCAGTCTCTTGAGTAGCTGAGACTACAGGCATGTTATCATAGTCAGTACAATTTAAGTAATTTCTAAAAAGATGAACAAAGTTATAGGAGTTATTTTGACTAAAAAAGCTGAGATAATTTATTATGTTAATAAATATTCTTGTACAATTACACCTATTAATTACTTTTAAAATTTCTGCTTCACATCTCTGCAACCTTGGGCTTAGTGGATTTCCCAGGAAAGAAATGCTTCCACCAAATAAGAACCTCAGCTGGCCATTTTATATTTCCATAAAATATAGTGGTATGAGGGTTCTAATTTCTGCTTATCTTTCCTAACATTTATTTTCATTTTAAAAAAATTATTATTATAGCCATATTATTGTGGTTTAATTTGCATTTCTTTAATGGCTAATGATGTTGAGTATCTTTTCCTGTGTATATTGGCGGTTTATGTATCTTCTTTGAAGAAATGACTTTTCAATTTCTTTGCCCATTTTGTAATGGGATTATTTGTCATTTTGTTATTGATGTTTAAAGGGTTCTTTGTGTATCCAAACACTTGACCCATATGAGATATGTAATAGGCAAATATTTTCTGCCATTGTATGGATTGCCTTTTCACTGTATTGATAGTGTTCTCTGATGCATAAAAGTTTTGGTTTGATGAAGTTCAATTTATCTATTCGACTCTATAACCATACCCAGGGCAGGATCAGGAAAACAAGGACAGGAGACGTGCAGGGGCTGGACCACCTTCCCTCTTGGGTGACTGGAGGTCTGTCCTCAGCAGTCTTTCCCTTCTGACCTATGACTTCTGGGAATCGGGTCCCCATCTCTAGAATCATCAAGGTGATGACTGGTCCTTTATTTTCACAAGTGCTTTACGTTACAGAAATTTCAGCAAGCAGGGACTATGACTGGGTAAGCATGAGTGTTTGTGTTTTGTGTGTGTGTGTCTGTGTGTGTGGTGGGGGGCGGGGTATGTGGGGTACATTTTATTATCAATGCAGAATGGAACATGACAATGCAGATCCCAGTCCTTACATACCAGAGCTCTTCTTCCGCTTCATCGCAAGTGTAGCCACCACAGCTCAAGTAACCACATCTCCAATGAAATTTGATAGTGCATACCAGAGTATCTTAGTTTTTAATCTCCCTAAAAGTATACCATGTCACTCATAGATTGAATATATCAAAGTTGTCTTCATATGGAAGCCATGAATTTGTCTATATGGGTCTCAGACATATCATTGAAATATAGCATGCCCAAGAAAGTTTAATTAATGTGTATTTGAACAACTACAGTGTATAGACATCAACCAAAATATGAATTATCAGTTCATAGTATCAAGTCTTCATAAATGCACATCACTGTTGCCAATCCATGTCTATATTTCACTGGAAATCTGGCATAATATTTTCTTTACTTTGGTGAATGTAAGAAGGCAAATAAGTCTTGAGTACTCATCCTAAGTTGTATTTATTGGATACCACATATATTAAGTACCCTACAGACCCAGTAGACACATTTCAAAAATTATAAAATAATTAAACCTTACAATCCCATCGCATTAGTAATCTTTACTTTTCCACAACTTGAAACAATTCTATGTCCTTCAACTCTCGGACCCCTTTCCTCATCGTCTCTTCCTAGGTCAAATATGTATGAAGTTTTCACAACTCTGGAGTGCAGATGTTCTAAGCATGACCAAAATGTGAAAAGTGATGAAGAATGATGATAATCATTTTGACTACTTACAAATTAAAAAAAATCTCTTTGGCATCCACAAACACAGAAATGTACAAACACTTTCCCATAATCAACCTCAAAGACATGTAAACAGTTGATGGACAAAATAGTAACAATGTGTTAATACCCTTCAGCCCAAGGCCACCTGGAGCACATCTGTGGGTGAAGAAGTTGGGTTTATTACTCACTGCAGTGGGAGGGAGAATGCACACCTTGGATAACTACCGAGTATCTTGGTAAGTGCCTTTTAGATAGAGCCTATTATAATATTTGGGCTTCAGCTGGTATTTCAAGTTTCCCTGGGATTTAATTAATTAGTAGTTATGACTGAATGATGACACAGAGAGGTCTATGCCACTGAAAAAAGAGTTTATTACCCACTGACATAGGAAGCACAGCACAACAGGCAGCACCAAGGCTGGTCAAGTGGCAACGGGAGGGGAAAGCATGGGCGAGAGCCTCTAATGTGGTTTTTAGGGGAATGAATGAGCAAGGCAGGGTAAGCAGTGTAGACATGTTCAGTATTGATGAGTCTGAATAATCTTGGTGACTCTGAGGCATGGGGATTGTCTCTAGTTGTCTGATACCTGTCTCTCAGATTATTAAGACAGGAGAATATTGACTGGGAGTATCGGGGCCATGTGACAGCCAGAAAAAAAGAACTCATTCTGAGTTTGGGCTCTGGTTTGGTTAGTTTGCATAAGAAAGGCGCATTTGCGGTCAATCCCTTTAGTATCTGTAGGAATAGACTAGTCTTGGGAGGGGAGTCCTCACAATCAGTGAGGACTCAGATGCCAGAGCATGAGAATAAGGAAAAAAAGAAAATACAGATAACACAGTTGAGAAATTCTATTTTATTTTATTGCTCTAGATTTAGTACTGTCAGTAAGCAGAGGCAATTCTACAATTCGGTATTTCAATAAATCTTACCTTTAGGGAGGGTGGACTAGAGTGCAGATAAAGCTTAATCCGTAGAGAAGCATCAGCCACTCATACTAGCCGGGAGAGGGTTTAGACAAAATTATGAAGTACTTTTGTTTCGCCTCACTTTCTCATGGGCTGAGAGTGATCCAGTGTGGTGTTGGTATTTTGTGATATAATTTATGTCCCAGAGGGACTAATATGGCCCAGTAGTGAAGACCAGACCAGCTCCTGGCAACACTGATGCCCAGCTGTGCCAGACAAGTTCCCAGATATTAGGGGCTGCTTTTTCTTGATTAAATTCAATATTTAAAAATATCAGCATTACGTTTGAGAAATGATTAAGAAATGTCATATAGTTATATTAGTAATAAATATGTGCAAAAAATAAGAATGTAGACTACAAAATGGGAACCAGAATTAAAATCCATCAGCTTGGCAAAGACAGAAGTAAATGATGGTAGTATTGATCAGAGTACAGGGAAAATGTACTGTTACGAAGACTGATGGCATTGAAAAGTGGTACAAAACTTCTAAAGGGCACTTTTGCAAAATGTCTCAATAATTTAAATGTTCTGACGTTTTTGAGACAGAGTCTTGCTCTGTCGCCCAGGCTGGAGTGCAGTGGCACAATCTTGACTTATTGAAGCCTCCACCTCCTGGGTTCAAGCGATTCTCCTGCCTCAGCCTCCCGCGTAGCTGGGACTACAGGTGCGTGCCACCACGCCCAGCTAATTTTTGTAATTTTAGTAGAAATGGGGTTTCACCATGATGGCCAGGCTCATCTCAAATCCTTGACCTCAAGTGATCCACCCGCCTTGGTCTCCCAAAGTGCTGGGATTACAGGGGTGAGGGACTGCGCCGGGCCTAAGTGTTCTGACATTTTGACATGAAAATTTCTCTTTTAGGAATTTATCCCAAGGAAATAATTACATATCTTTCTAAAAACGCATATATAGGCCGGGCGCGGTGGCTCATGCCTGTAATCCCAGCACTTTGGGAGGCCGAGGCAGGTGGATTACGAGGTCAGGAGTTCAAGATCAGCCTGGCCAACATGGTGAAACCCCGTCTCTACTAAAAACTACAAAAATTAGCCGAGCGTGGTGGCAGACACCTGTGGTTCCGGCTACTCGGGAGGCTGAGGCAGAAGAATTGCTTGAACCCGGGAGGTGGAGGTTGCAGTGAGCTGCGATCATGTCACTGCACTTCAGCCTGGGTGACAGGTCGAGACTCTGTCCCAAAACAAAAACAAAAAAACCACATATATAAGAATGTTCCTTGAATTGTGGTTTATAAAAGCAAAATAATGGAAATAACCCAAAGATTGTAATGAATATAGTGATGATAGTTATCAATAATGGAGCATTTAGTATGACTCAGAAAATAATGCCATGGCTTTACATAGAGAGTCAGATTTAATCCTCAATGCAAACCCATGGGGAACTCAATATGTGATCCTTTGTACAGACAGGGAAGGAGAGAGGTAAAGAAGGTGGTGGGGCTAGGGTTGAACCCTGGAGATTTTCTCTCAGAGGCCTTGTTGACTTGTCTTCCATTGATTCTCTCTTCATCTGCACCTTACACAAGTGAACTGTTTTGATGTCCCAGAATGTTCTATGGACAGGAGGCCACTGGCTCAGAGCTCAGGAAGACAAGAAGGGCAATGACTTAACTGCCAAATTCACGCAGAAGTCCGTTCATCCAGGGTGTATTTCCAGTGATCAGGAGATCTGCTAAGCACTTGAGGATATAATGAAGAGCAAGAGTAAAATCTTGGAGATGGGGAGTTTTCAATATTGTAAGGAAGATAAATATTTAGCAAAAATTGCCCCAAGATTGTGAAATTGCTAATGAGCGTAAGGGAAAAGTTTGTGATATCATGAAAGCAGGTTACAAGGAGACCTAATGGGTCCCTACCACTATTACCAATTATGTGTGAAAGATGTAAGAAAACAGCAGTTATGAGATTTGAACAAATTTATAAACAATTTCATGCAGAGAACTAGAAAGAGCTCTGGAATTTTAAAATATGATCATTGAAATAAAGAGTTTAAAAAATGAACTGAAATGAAAGTTGTGTGCTGCAAGGTAGTACAAAATAAAAACGTGATGCCAAGCATGATAGAACTTTAAGAATATTATACTATCAATTAAGGAATTCCAGCAGTCTCATAATATAAGTTCCAATAACCATAGAAAGTAATTAAAAGTAATTCAAGAAAATGTTTTGAAGGCTACTGACAAAAATGTATAGTGTGAATGGCTGCAACAAAGTTCTCAATACAGGAGATGGAAACAGACCCACACCAAGACTCATGACAACAAAATTTCAGAGAGTGAAAGACAGAGCAAGACCAATGGACAAAGGAATGGCAGGAGGTCTGGTCGTGTGTGTGCATTTCCTCCTTCCCGTCTGTCATTGTCCTTCCTCACCAGGCCTGCAGATCACCTGTGATGACTTGGCCTCTTGCCATCCCTAGCTGGGCAAACTCCATCATGGTGACACACGGGATGGCAGAAGTGCAAGGCCTCGTTTCTGCTGGATGAGCCTTCTGGAGACTGTCTCAGGGTTTTCTGAGAACTTCTTTAAAACCTGGTCTACGGGCATGCATTACCCCAGTTATTTTTTCCCTAAGTGAAAAATCAACCAGAGGAGATGATTTATTTTAATAGCCTTATTGCAGGAGAGGAAGGTGAAAAGTGTTTCTATTCATTGGCCCATTAGTTACAATGGGCAGAGGCCACTGAGCGAGCAGCGGGTGGTGGCAGTGATGACCACACGTTCTCACGGCAGCGCAACACTTTTGAGACAAGTTCCCACCTCTCCATTAAACATGTCTTCTCCACGTGCAGAAAATGTGGTCTCGTAGCTTCCCTTCTCAGTGCTGGATTGCTGGCATTTCATTTTCCTTATCAGAGACATGAATATCTTTGTTCTTCTTGGATTTCTAAGACTTCAGGTTTTCTTCAGGGAGAAGCTGCTTAGGGAGGCTCCTGCGTGGACCGAGTCCTTCCTGAGGGTTTGCTTGGTGCCCTAACTGTGGCTGACTGCCTCCCGCGGGGTCCCAACTTTATACCCAGAGGTAAGGACAGATGCTTCCAGCTCCATCTTATAACTTCCACATGAAATTTGAGGTCAGGAACTTCTCTTAACTCGTCTTAAAGGGCCTCATACTTACATTCTTGACTCGGAAAATAATTAAGTGTGCGTTTGAACATGTTTCCTCCGCAATTTACTCTCTGGAGGGGAATACATTGAAAACCCAGTTTATTTTCAGATACTGAGTGGGATTGAAAAGCTGAATTGTCTGTTTTCCTGCAGGGCACACAGAGGAACTGGCTGTCCCACACCACTCTGACATTTCCAGAGAAGCACCGTCCTCTTCCAGTAGGACATGAGTAAGACCAGTGAGGAGCCAACATGCAGCCCCTGGGCATCTCTGGGGTTGAAGGAAAGATATATATGTCCTTCTGATGTGTGGAGCCCTGAGGGCAGTGTTCAAGACCCTGCATTTTCCGAAGTACTTGTTTACTGAGCAAGTGTTTCTGCTTGTTGCATTATGTCAGGGGATATGGAAGCCACTTTTCATCCAGCCAAACACAGATGCAAATGAGATGTTCTGGGAGAAAGCAGAAAAAGCCCTTTTCACAGAGTTCCTTATTTTACTATTCTATTACACTTGTCTGAGGTTACAATCACATCCTTTTTTAACAATCTCTAAATGAGAAAATCATCAAAAGGGTATGTAGTGAGTGACAGACACAGGATAAATGCTGTAAGTCAGTGTTTGATGAAAGATACTGGTGTTCCAGGATGTCAGAGTCTCCTGGGTGCCAGTAGGGAGGTGGTCAGGGACTTTATCCAAGAAGCAGAAAGAAGAGCTTCAGGGACATGAGGATGTCTCATAGCCAAGGACAGGACAGTAAAGGGCCCCGTGTGAGTGCATCACAGAGGTCTGTTACTGTTCAGACCCCAAAGCTCAGCACCCAGTGTGGCATGTGGCAAGACCTCAGCAAACACATCAGTTGGCTGGATGAAGGAGGGCAGGTGTGAGCCGACAAGGAAAATCTTGTGATTTTTGTTGGGAAATGAATGTAAAAGTGTTGATGTACCTCCCTTGTAAGGAGATAGAAAGGTAGAGAGCAGACAGATGCATGCATGGATGAATGCATGGATGGATGGATGGTTGGATGGACGGATGGATGTTCATTTTCTGTGTGTGTTTCTATCTCTGTTCTGCCTTTCTGTTTTGTCTCTGGCTCTGTCTGTATCTGCCATTGTCCCTTCACAACCATGCCTTCACTATTATCAGTAACATCTTTTACCTGGTCTTATAGGATCTTGCCTGTGTTGTATTAGTGGTCAAGGACAGAAAAAAGAAAGAAGTCTGTGGAAAACAAAATAAAGGAAACAGATGCTTCTGACATGCGGCAGTGGAAGGATGTGTGGACCTGAGGCCCCCAGGGAGACAGGGGCTGCGCCTCACTGCAAAGTCGATCCTGCTGAACACAGAGGGGAAACGCGCTCAGACAGCCCTGCCCGTGCTGATCAGAAGGGAGGGTTGCGCCTCCAGATCCTTCTCCCTGTGTTTCTTCAGGGCCCAGCCCTGAGAGTTCCAGGGTCCCATTTTCTTAGTTAGGACCTTAAGACCCTATCAGAGTCCAGCCCCAGGAAGCCTGCAGTCATAGCACTGGGCTAGACCAAGTTGCTGCTATGAAAAGGGATTTGAAAATTCCCAGAGGAGCCTTTCAGCCTCTTTCCATGGCTCTTTATGCCCTTTCAAAGGCACAGCCAGAGACATCAGAAATGAAATTGTATATAATTATATGGACTTTTCGACAATCATTGAAATTTCTGTAAGTGCCAGTTATATTTTGGCAACCCCATCAAAGCCAGGTGTGCCCAGGGCAGTCAGCTCAGGCCCTGGCCTCTCATTCAGGTTGGATTCTATAAGAACCGCATTCGCGGTGAGAATTCTAGAGCCAGATCTTGCTGCTCCACAATTGCCTCACGTTGCAAGACAAGCAAATCTAGCCTGAGTCTGTGGATTCCAGGGCTGCTTAGGAGGAACCTGCATTCCCGCGTGGATGACCTCAGGCTCCGCCCCTTCTGCCCCACTCAGCCCTCACCCAGTGCCTGAGAGCGCTCAATCAGAATGCGAGAGCAGCGCGGCGGCGCCCCCGTGTGGCCACAGGGACGAGGACAGAGGACCGGACCCCGCTCCCCTTTCTCACCAACCAGGACCTCCGAGGCTCTCCCTCTGCTCCCAGCACCTGGACAGGGCTCTGCACTCAAGGAGCCTCCGGGTCTCAAGTCAGGCTCTGAGTCCATTCAGCTTCCCAAAATCCATGTTGACAATGACATTTCCTCTCACCACTGAGTGACTGGACTTTTGCCTCAGAGCAGAGAGAGGCCTCCAGGGCAAAACAGTGGGATCAGATGTGGGGATGACACACCCCCAAATCCTTGCTGCCACAGGACCCAGTCCCTCAGCCTCCAGATGGGGCCTTGGCCTCCCGTCCCCTCCTTTGTTCCTGCTGCTAGAGGCTGCTCATCCCAGGAATCAGCCTGTTAGCCTCCAACCCTGGGGTCCAGGGACAGCAGCTCCTAGTGCCTCGGTCCAGGAAGAAGGGAACCTCCAGAGAGCAGAAGAGAGAAGAAATGGATCATAAGAGAAGGGGGCAAGGGGGGAGAAAGAGAGTGAAAGGAGCCAGGGAGGAGAGAAAAATGGAAAACATCCTGTTAGGAATGTGTGTGTTTGTGTTGATGTGTGTGCGTGCAGGTGTGTGTAGAGTGGGAGAGAGTTTCTAGGGTTCTGAGGAGAAGAGAGCTGCTATACAGGTGCTAAGGGGCCCAGCCCTGGGAATTTCAGGGTCCCGCTTTCTGAGCTAGGATCTTAAGGCCCTATCAGAGTCCACCCCCAGGAAGCCTGCAGTCATAGCACTGGGCTAGCTGGACGGCTGCCTCTTCTTTGCCTTTGACAGCAGGAGCTGCCATGCCAGGCCCAGGGGCCCTGGGGTCATGGGCAGAGAGCAGGTCCCTCTGCTGGCAGCCAAGGAGATGTTGTTCTTGGAGGGTCAAAGACTTACTTAGCTGGGAGTCTGAAGGTGGTCATGGGTTACAAAGGGGTTACAAAGAGCTCAGCGGTGAGCCTGGCCCAAGCTTCTGACCCCTTTCTTTGGATCTCAAGGGCTGACCATGGATTCTCAATGGATCTCAAGAATTCGCCCATTTACCTCTTGCCCCAGACCCTCCCCACTTCGATACCCTGGGACCCAGGCATCTGCCTCTTTCCTTCTCCTCCGGCCTCCCAAGCACCTCCAGGCCCTGCTCTCTGCCAACCTGAACTCCAGGACCCTGTAGCCCCACCCCAAAATTGCTTGATAATACAGTGATTCTATTTTCAGTGTTTTGAAAACTCTCTATACTGTTTTTTACAGTTGCTGTACTAGTTTTACACACTGTGTGTAAGAGTGCCCTTTTCTCCACATCCTCACAAACATCTATTTGTTTGTTTGTTTTTTTTTGTCTTTTTAGTTGTACCCATTCTATCTGGGGGTAAGATGATATCTCATTGTGGTTTTGATTTGCATTTCCCTGATGATAAGTGATGTTGAGCATTTTTCATGTACCTGCTGGCCATTTGTATGTCTTCTTTTGAGAAATGTCTATTCATGTCGTTTGTCCACTTTTTAATAGAATTTTTTGGTTTTTTTAGCTCTTGAGTTCCTTACATATTCTGGATATTAGTCCCTTGTCAGATAAATTGTTTGAAAATATTTTCTCCCATTCAACAGGTTGTCTGTCTACTCTTTTGATGGTTTTCTTTGCTGCGCAGAAGCGTTTTAGTTTATTATAGTCCCATTTGTCTATTTTGTTTGGGTTGTCTGTGCTTCTGAAGTCTTAGCCATAAAATCGTTACCCAGACCAATGTCCTAGAATGTTTCTCATATGTTTGCTTCCAGTTGTTTTATAGTTTTGGGTCTTATGTCTAAGTATTTAATCCATCTTGAGTTGATATTTATATAGGGTGAGATATAGGGATCTAATTCCATTCTTCTGCATGTGGATATCCAATTTCCCCAGCACCATTTATTGAAGAGGGTGTCCTTTCCCCAAATGTATGTTCTTGGCACCTTTGTCAAGAATCAGTTGGCTGTAAATATATGGATTTATTTCCAGATTCTCTATTATGCTGCATTGATTGACATGTGTTTGTAGAGACGAGGTCTCAGTATGTTTCCCAGGCTGGTCTAGAACCTCTGGGCTCAAGTGGTTCACCCTCCTTGGCCTCCCAAAGTGCTGGGATTACAGGAGTGAGCCACAGTACCTGGCCTTTGTGCTGTGTTTTGATTCATCATTATCTCCTAAGCCCTTTCCCAGCATTGATATTTTACTAAACACCCTATGATTAAATTATATCTCTACACCTTGAGATAAACAAAAAATTATATAAGCGGTAAAGACAAATATGAAAAAATAAAACTACTACCAATGTTATTAGGAGGATAACCTTAAAACATTTGAGTAAGAAAATTTTTCTTTTTTTCTTTTTTCTTTTTTTTTAGCTGTACCTGCTGGAATGGAAAATATTTCTTAAATGAGACAAATATATGAAAGTGAAAATGCTTAAACTTCAAAGGACTTACATTACATATATAGTCATTCTTTCTTAATGATAAGATAGGTTCTGAGAAATGTGTCCTTAGGTGATTTGGTCTTACGTGAACATCATAAAGTGTCCATACACAAAGCTAGATGATATAGCCTACTGCACACCTACGCTATATCATAAAGCCTATTGCTCCTAGGCTACAAACTTGGATAGCACATTACTATACTGAGTACTGTAGGCAATTGTAACACAATGGTAGGTATTTGCGGATCTAAACATATGTAAACAGAAAAAGTACAGTAAAAATATGGTAAAAAGATTTTTAAAATGGCACACCTATATAGGTTACTCATCATGAATGGAGCTTACAGGACTGGAAGTTGCTCTGGGTGAGTCAGCAAGTGAGTGGTGAGTGAACTGAAGGCCTAGGCCATTACTGTGCACTACTGTAGATTTTATAAATGCTGTACACTTAGGCTACACTAAATTGATTTTAAAAATAATTTTCTTTAATAATAAATTAACCTTAGCTTAATGTAACTTTTTTAACTTTATAAACTTTAATTTTTAAAACTTTTCAGCTTTTGTAATAGCACTTAGCTTAAAAGACCAACATGTTACAAAGCTGTACAAAAATATTGTTCCTTATATTTTCATTCTAGAAACTTATTTCTATTTAATTTTTTTTTTACTTTTAAATCTTTTCTGTTAAAAAAAAAAAGACATAAATTAGCCTAGGCTGACACAGGGTTAGGATCAACAATATCACTATCTTTAGCCTTTACATCTTGTCCCACTGGAAGATTTTCAGGTGTAATAACATGCATGGAGCTGCCATCTCCTATGATAACAATGCCTTCTTCTGGAATACCTCCTAAAGGACCTGGCCGAGGCTGTTTCAAGTTTTTTTAATAATTAGAAGGAGCACACTCTAAAATAACAATAAAAAGTATAGTAAATATGTAAACCAGTAACATAGTCATTTATTATCATTATCAAGGATTATGTATTGTACATAACTGTATGTGCTAGACTTTTATAGGATTGACAGTGCAGTAGGTTTGTTTACACCAGCATCACCACAAACATATCATTAATGCATTGTACTATGATGTACAGTGTCACCTACAATGTCACTACAGAGAAGAAACCCCCAAAATCTGCACTCCTAAGCTGCATATGCTTCAGGTGATACTCTAAGAAGCCCACCAGAGAACAGTTGCTTGGAGATTGCATGCTAAGTAGAAATGCCAAAGGCTTCAGAGTATGAGGAGATGTTGGAATTTTAGCCCAGCCAAACCTGGGTTGAGCCAACAGGGTGGTGAAGCACTATGAGTGAGGACCCTTGCCTTGGAGTAAGGACTGCACTGAACTAGACTCATGTTAACAAAAGCTAAAATCAAGCCTAAGCAGAATCAAAGTGGGTCTGATTTTTATGATAATTAATGAACCGTCAAGCAGTTAGCAGTCTTAGCAGGAAGATAGCAAAATCCAGAACCTCTGTAACACATCACCCAGAATATGTGGCATGCCAAGCAGCAGAAAAAAATGCAACAAGTGGAGATAAAATAATCAACAGAAGCCGACTCAGATGATCTGGATACTGAAGCCAGCGAGCAAGGACATTCTTCAAAATATTTATGATTAATATGTTAAGGATAATAGAGGAAATCATGGGCAAACTATTTCATAATCCCCAGAAAGATCAATCATACAAAGAGAGAAAACACGAATGAACACTGTGAGAAGGGACAACTTATAAAACCACATATTTTATTAAAATGAAAATAAGAGAATATTAGACACAACTTCATGACAATACCTTTTAAAATTTAGGTGCAATGAAATGAGTTCTTGAAAAACACAGTTGAACAAAGCCAACAGAAAACTAAGTAGAAAATATAAATAGTCCTCTATCCATTAAGAAATTGAATTTTAATTAAATTCCTTCCCACCAGAAAAACTTCTTACCACATTTCCTCCCATCAATTCTTTCAAAAACTTAAAAAAGGAATGTCAGTCCTATATAGTCATCCCTTGGTATCCTTTTGGGCTGGGTTCTAGGACCCCTGTGGATACCAAAATCTGTGGATTCTCTGGTCCCATGTATAAAATGGCCTACTATATGCCTACTACCTATGCATATCATCCCATATACTTTAAATCATCTCTAGATTACTTACAATACCTAGTGCAATGTACATGATTGTAAACAGTAGTTATACTATATTGTTTAGGAAATAACGACAAGAAAATGTCTGTACATCTTCAGTACAGATGTAACCACTGTCAGTAGGCCTAACTACAGAGTACACAACAGCAGCAACATAACATTTCCAATCCTCAGGTAGTTGAATTCACAGATGTGGAACACACAGACATGGAGGACAGACTGTCTTATATTTTATATAATGAAGAGTGGCCAGGCGCGGTGGCTCATGCCTGTAATCCCAGCACTTTGGGAGGCCGAGATGGGCAGATCACCTGAGGTCAGGAGTTCAAGACCAGCCTGGCCAACATGGTGAAACCTCATCTCTACTAAAAATACAAAAAAATTAGCTGGGCGTGATGACAGGTGCCTGTAATCCCAGCTACTCAAGAGACTAAGGCAGGAGAATCGCTTGAACCTGATAATTGCTAGGCTTTGAGTAAAGTAGTTTGACCTTTATAATGTGACCCTCCCTAAATAAGATGGAACTCTGCAGCAGACATCCTGGGATTTGAACTGCAATATCAGTCAACTGACCCACAAAGAGCTGGTTGGTTTGTGTACAGCATTTGCAAGATGAGTGGACAACATCCTGTTTGGAAGTCTACCCCTTTGATCAAAGAAGTTAAAAACAGGACAGTTTTTTTTTTTTTTTTTGGTTGAATTGCATGATGTTTTCTGAGAAGTGATGAAAGAATTGAACAATGACAAAAGTCCCTATGTCTTAGTTTTTACTGACTTATGGGCATTGACTGATGGCCTGGCCATATAATTAAGAGAACAATGGAAAACTGGCCTATGAAAAGAATACCCGTATAGGACACAGTCCTGTGGAAATCACTATGGTAATTTGAGGGGTGCATTAATGTAAGACATGTTGATGTCTGATATAAATTGGGTGTTGTCCCCACCCAAATCTCATGTTGAGATATAATCCCCAGTGTTGGAGGTGAGGCCTGGAGGGAGGTGATTGCATCATGGGGGTGGCTTCTCATGAATCGTTTAGTACCATTCCCTCAGAATAGTTCAATTAGTTCAATGCCCCTCAGAATAACCCTCCTCCAGGTTTGGAAGGTGATTGAAATCAACAAGCATTTATTTCTAAGTGCTTTCCAGGTGTACCTGTAATTCCAGCTACAAGAAGAACTGAGGCAGAAGGATCTCTTGAGCCCAGGAGTCTTAGTTTTGCCTGAGCAACTTTTGAGTCCAGGGAAAAATATCAATACCACATCTCAAAAAAATCCACGTTTGCTTGTGGTGATCACCTGGGTCCGTGAAATAAGTAGACACTGAGGGCTGCAGCAATGCAGAGATAGGCTGAATCAAGATATATTCCTTTTACATCCTCCAACTCACAGGCACGAAATACCCATAAGGACTGTTCTGTTTAAGAAGAGACAGAGACAGCATATGGCTATGTAGCAAATTCTCTCATGGGAAGGTCTTGAAAATAGATAGCTGGCAAATTAGACTGATACCAGTACCCCTAGGAGGCAGCAAATGGGTCTTGGCAGGAATAGATACTGACCCTGGAGTAAGCATTGCTTAGCTGGTGGTAGATGTGTTATCAAACTGAACTGGGGCCCACTCACCTGGTGCAATAAAGGCAAACATCCACACTGAGATTTTGTAGTGGGAGAAAGGAAGGCGTTTATTTCCAAGGCACCAAGCAAGGAGAATCGGGCAGCTCACACTTAAGACCTAACCTCCCCAATGGCTTACAAGCAAGAGTTTTTAAGGCAGGAGTAAATTTCAGCAAAGCCGAGTTGCAGGCAACATCAAAAATCAATGCATAGAAATTACACACTGGTTTGGCCTAAAAAGGTGGGATATCCTGATGAGGGATCATACAGGTCATAGGTGGATTGAAAGATTCTCTGATTTGTGATTGGATAAGGAGCCAAAGCTTTGTCTACACACTTAGGGGCAGTAGGGAGGAATGTTCAGGTCTGCTCTGTGGACCTGACTCTTTCCAGGCCCCTCAGGAAAAAATTTAGAACAAAGAGTCACAGTCAGCATTGAGTCCTCATTTTCCCCTTATCTGAGGTCTCCCTATCAGTGGCTCTGTTTGGTGAGAGTCTGGGTTCCTGAAAAACTACTCAAGGACATATGTTAAGATGTTCTCTTTAGTTTCTATAGAGAATCAAACATCTTGGGACTCTAACTTCCTTGGCTATTGTTTAAGCTATTTTTACCTGCTTGCTTATAAGGTCACTCACTTGCTTTTCAGGGCTGGCTAGGTGCCTGGAATTTCTCTTGAAGGAACTCAACATTTTCCTTTATTTCCATGTTAGGGAGGTCTAGCAGGCTTCTAAGATAAATCCCTACTTCATCTCAGATGCAAATGCTTAGAGCACTATAATAGAACCTGGACGGGAGATATTGCAACCATTTGCATCACTGAGTCACATTTCTTCACACCAGGAAACACATTTGCCCAAAATGTCCAACAATGTTCAGAAAAATATTTTGCTCAGAGGAATAGTTTCATAGAGAATAAAAATAGTCAAATGACACATTACTTGTATAAAGCAGGAGCGGGGAGACATAAGCATGAAGGGCGGGCTTACACACGTTCATGAGTGGGCTCACACCAGACATGAGTGTGGAAAAAGGAGTGTCCCCACTAGAGAGTGTCCTCTTTTTTCCTGCTGGATCAGGGAAAGGTGCTAGTATGACCTGACATACGATTTTTCCCATGACAAGAGGACACTGGAATGATGACTAGACTTCACCTCAACTCGCCTTTCTCATACCTGATTCAGTGGTCTTAGGACAAGGGATGCATATAAAAGTGCCAAAACAGGAATTATTCCTAAGCAAGAAAGTGTAAATATATTTTAAAACCATTATGCAAGAATTCCTGAGGGCCTGGAGGAACAGGTTGTGCCTTCACTGCATCTGGCAAAGTTGGGGCTAACACTGAATGCTGCTGTATTGCCTGGGGTCAGATAGCCAACTAGTTCTCTACCTGCATAACCCTACCCTCTATGAACTGGAATGGACCAACGAGAGACACTTGCTAGAACAGTATTGCTCCCTTCAGTCTAGGCCAGCACAGCAGCAGAACTTAATGTTTCTTCCAAAACTATTAATGTTTGGTATAAATGAAGTAGAAGGAGGAATAGTAGCTGAGGGTAAATGAATGAATAAATGGGTTGTGTAATGAGGAAAATCCAATGTTACATGAACTCCTAAAAAAAAGAGGTATAAGCAAGAGATGATATTGTCTCTTGACAATGATGGTGCACCCCGTCTCCATGGGGACAGAGGGTCGTGTGCTCAGAGTGCTTCCAGACGTCGCCTCCTGCACTTCATCTGCCTGCTCATTTGTATCCTTTACAACTGCTATTGTTTGAATGTTTCCCCAGAAAAGCGTCTGTTGGAAACTTAATCCCCAGTGCAACAACGTTAAGAGATGGGAACTTTGAGAGGTGATTGGACCATCAGAGCTCTGCCTTCATTAATGAACTGATCAAGGCTGCCCTCATTAATGCTGATCATAAAAGACCTGAGCCTGTGAGTTCGACCTCTTACTCCCTCTAGCTCTCACCCTCTCTTGCGCTTCTCCCTTCTGCCAGATACATTCCCTTGATTTTGGAATTCCCATCCTCGACAACCATGAGCCAATTAAATTTGTGTTCATTGTAAGTTATCCAGTCTCAGGTGTTCTGTTATAGTGGCATAATTTAAACCAGGGGTCCCTAACTCCCCTGCAGTGGACCGGTACAGGTTTGTGGCCTGTTGGGAACCAGACCGCACAGCAGGAGGTGAAGGGTGGGCGAGAAAGCATGAGCATGACCGCCTGAGCTCCGCCTCTGGTCAGATCAGTGGTGGCATTAGATTCTCATGGGAGCACGAACCCTATTGTAAACTGTGCATGCGAGGGATTTAGGCTGCACGCTCCTTTATAAGACTCCAATGCCTGATCATCTGAGGTGGAACAGTTTCATCCCGAAACCCATCCCCGCCTACCTGTGCCGCCTGCCCTGGTCAGTGGAAAAATTTTATTCCATGAAACCAGTACTTGGTGCCAAATAGGTTGAGGTAAGCTATGATTACCGCTGATTTAAGCTATGACAATAATAAACTGCAATACTGAGTGTGAAAGAAAGATAAAATCTTGGGACCCCAAACTCACAGTGCCAAAGGGAAAAGTTAAGTTTGGGAACTGAGTCATGGAAAAACTGCCTTTCTTTTGTTCCTAAACAAATACCTGCAAAGATAGAGGACCACATATCTCCCCAGGTGGCCTCCCTCACAAACTGCTCACAATGTAAGTCCTTGTGGGCCCCAACATCTTTACCCTAAAACAGAGTTTTGTTGACTTTCCCCCTGACAATGTAAATTAACAGCTTATCTTCACAGGTACAGGACAAAGACAAGACTAGAAATCATCCCTTCACCCACCCGGAGACAAACACATATTTTACTACTCTATGTTTACTTTAGCTTATGTAAAATTCAGATTTACTGAGCACAAGATGAATGCATAATTGACTGTTTTTCCCCTTCTGCCTGCTCTTTCCCCTGTAAGTACTGAAGTCCTCAAAACCCTTTTAGGAAAAAGCGTGAGCCACAGATGCTAGTGATTTTTGTCTCTTTTTCCAAGGTGCATCTTGGAATGGAAGACTGGAGGGACCCATGGATCCCAAACCTGGACCTGGTTCCCCCAGTACAAGCCATGAGCCAGTTGAATCTGAATGCGAAGATGGAACGACGACTGACCAGAGTCATGCTGACATCAACCCCCATAACATGGGGACTGATCAAGAAAACCACACAGGAAGCTGAGAAACTGCTGGAGTGCCAGGGTGTCACCTTTTGCTGGAACTCAGAAGTACAATCGGTGTTTAATGGACCAATGCTTTCTGACTCAGCTCCTCTCTACCCTGAATACAAGAGACCCTAATAGTTAGGCAGGAATATCATCGCCCTTATTCAGCATGAAGAAGTTGCAGAAGACAGACCTTCATCCTTCTGCAACCCTTAGGATTAAGGGTCCTCCTGTAAAAAGGGAAGGGGGAGATATGTAAGAAGCATTCAAACCACAGCAACTCCATTTTGAATAAGGGCTAAGAAAAATGAAGCTGGATCACCAACCGGCAATTAAGAGCTGCACAGCCTGCAATTACCTTGCTCAATTAATTTTAAAACAAAAAGGAGTAGATGTTGGAGGCCGCAAGAATGTTTCTTATGATTTGCCACAATTGAAGCCTGCCAGTAACAATATGAACCTGTGATCAATTAAGCAGCTGACCAATCATTACCTCCTCCTCCTTGCCCTTATTACCCAATAAATATGAAGGGCTAAGAAGCTCGGGCGGCGGCCTTTGCTCACTAGAAGCAGGGAGCTCTTTTCTTCTCGTCTCTCTTCTTCTTCCCCATGCTAGCCTTTCCTTAAAATGATTTAGGGTATCTGGCAGATAAAATTTCTAAGCAGCAAAGCATTCAAAGAGTGACTTGGGTGCTCCTAAAAGCATTCCATTTTAAAAGGGAAACAGAGCATAAAAGTTCAGAAAATTTACAGCCTGACAATGCAGTAGAAAAGAAAAACCCATTTTTTGAGGAGAAACTCAAGCTGGCTGCAGAAATTTGCATAAGTAACAACAAGCCAAGTGTTGATCCCCAAGACAAGGGGGAAAATGTCTCCAGGGCATGCCATAGGTCTTCATGGCAGCCCCTCCCATCACAGACCCAGAAGCATAGGAGGAAAAAATGGTTTCATGGGCAGGGCCCAGGGTCCCCATGCTATGTACAGCCTAGGGACTTGGTGCCCTGCATCCCAGATGCTCCCACTGTTGCTAAAAAGGGCCAAGGTACAGCTTGGTCCATGGCTCCAGAGGGTGCAAGCTTTAAGCCTTGACAGCTTCCATGTGGTTTTGAGCCTGCAGGTGCACAGAAGTCAAGAATGGAGGTTTGGGAACCTCCACCTAGATTTCAGAAGATGTATGGAAATGCTAGGATGCCCAGGCAAAAGTTTGCTGCAGGGGCAGGGCCCTCATGGAGAACCTCTGCTAGGGCGGTGTGGAAGGGAAACGTGGGGCTGGAGCCCCCACACAGAGTCCCTACTGGGGCACTGCCTAGTGGAGCTGTAAGAAGAGGGCCACCATGTTCCAGACCCCAAAATGGTAGATCCACCAACAGCTTGCACTGTGCATCTGGAAAAGTCACAGACACTCAGCGCCAGACTGTGAAAGCAGCCAGGAGGGAACATATACCCTGCAAAGCCACAGGGGCAGAGCTGCCCAAGATATGGGGACCTACCTCTTGCATCAGCATGACCTGGATGTGAGACATGGAGTCAAAGGAGATCATCTTGGGGCTTTAGAATTTGACTGCCCCACTGGATTTAGGACTTGCATGGGCCCTGTAACTCCTTTGTTTTGGCCAATTTCTCCCATTTGGAATGGCTGTATTTACCCAATACCTGTACCCCCATTGTATCTCGTAAGTAACTAGCTTGGTTTTGATTTTACAGGTTAATAGGTGGGAGGGACTTGCCTTGTCTCAGATGAGACTTTGGACTGTGGATTTCTGGGTTAATGATGAAATGAGGAAAGACTTTGGGGGATTGTTGGGAAGGCATGATTGGTTTTGAAATGTGAGGACATGAGATTTGGAGGGGCCAGGGGTGGAATGATATGGTTTGGCTCTGTGTCCCCACCCAAATCTCATCTTGAATTATACTCCCATAATTCTTACATGTTGTAGGAGGGACCCAGTGGGAGATAATATGAATCATGGAGGCAGTTTCCCCCATACTGTTCTTGTGGTATTGAATAAGGCTCACAAGACCTGACGATTTTATTAGGGGTTTCCGCTTTTGTATCTTACTCATTTTCTCTTGCCACTGCCACGTAAAAAAATTCACCTCCTGCCGTGATTCTGAGACCATCCGAGCCATGTGGAATTGTAAGTCCAATTAAACTTCTTTTTCTTCCCAGTCTTGAGTATGTGTTTATCAGCAGTGTGAAAACGGACTAATATAGCTGGCTTCGTAGATTGAATTGAAAAAAACTGCCTACTTTAATTTCTAAAAGGTATGTGTAAAATTGATGTAATTTCTAAATTATATGTTTGATACAATTCATCAGTGAAGCCTTCTGGACCTAGAGTTTCCTATATTAGAAGGATTTTGATTACAAATTCAATTTCTACAATCAATATATGGCTGACCACATTTTCTATCTCTTCTCAGGTCAGTTTTCATAAGTTTTCCCTCTCAAGGAAATTGTTCATTTCATTTGCTTGTCAAACTTATTGACATGAGATTATCAATATTTCTTTTTGAGATCTAGAGTGTGTACTGATGTTCTCTCTTTTATTGCTGACCTTGTTAATGTGTATGTTTTTGTCTTGATCAGTCTGGCTAGAAATTTGTAAGGTGTACGATTTTTCCCTATAGAACCAATATTTGGATTCATTAATTTTCTCTTTCTGCTTCAGTTTTTTATTTTATTATTATTTCCTTCCTTCTGCATGCATTGGTTTAATTTGTTCTTCTTTGCTTCTTACAGGAGAAACTAATTTACTAATTTGAGACCTACCTTCTTTCTTAATATAGGCATTTAAGGATATCAGTTTTTTCTTCAGTACTACTTGTTGGGAACAAATGCTCAGTGTTGTAAAGAAAGATCAGCACTGAGACAAAGGATCTCTCAGCAAGGCAATTGACTTCTGCAGAAAGGGTGCTATTTATGATGGAACGATGGCGAGTGCACACCTGAACAAAGGAGAGCAGGGGTTTTTTATAATCTCTTAATGCAGCTTGTCCCTGTAACTGTGTCTTGTCTCCATTGGCTGGAGTTGGACTGCACAATCTAAGCTGAACCCGGCTGGCTAACTTGAAAAGTGCAGGAATGTGGTTATACCAACAGAGAGTGCAGTCTTGGCGGGAGGAGCTGTTGCAACAGGAGGGTTAATCTATAGAGTGGGTAGCAGAAGTGGGATGTGGTCTCCATAGATAAGGACTGGCGGGAAATTTGTTTACCAGGGCAGGGGATACAGAGCGTAAGGAAGTCTGGCCTTGAAAGCAGGGAACAAAGAGCCAGGATGCTGAGCAAGTTAACCCTTAAAGAGGAACTCTTTTTATATCTAACACTACTTCAACTGCATCCCATACATTTGATATGTTGTGCTTCAGTATTCTTCAGAAAACAGAAGACTTTCTAATTTCTCCTGTGATTTCCTCTTTGAATAAGTTGTTATTCAGAATTTTGAGGTTTAATTTCCAATCCTTGGTATTTTCATGATCGTCCATCTTAGTCAATCTGGGCAGTTATAAAAGAATTCCATAGTCTATGTGGCTTGCATAAAACAGAAATCTATTTCTCACAGTGCCGGAGGCTGGGAAGTCAAAGATCAAGGCCTGGGAAGAGTCAGTGTATGGTGAGGGCTGCTTCCTGATTCATGGATGTTGCCTTTTCTTGGTGTCCCCACGTGGTGGAAGGAGCAAGCAATCTGGGGTCCCTTTTATAAGGGCATTCATTTTATTAATGAGGGTTTTGCCTTCACTGCATGATCACTTTCTAATGGCACAACCTCCAAACACCATCACATTAGAGATTAGGTTTCAATTATGAGTTTAAGGATGACAAAAGCATTCAGTCCCACAAGATCATCTTATTGTTACAGATTTCTAATGTATTTCCATTATGGCCAGAAAATATATTCTGTATGATTTCAATGTTTTCAAATTTATTGTTTTATGGCCTGAAATATGGTTTCTCCTGGTAAATGTATCATTCATACTTCAGATAAATTGTGTTTTTCATTGATGTGCATATGCATATAAATAAATTAAGTCTGGGTGCTTGATAATGCTTTTCAATTTTCTATGTCTTTGCTAAATTTTTCTTAGTTTTTGTATTTATAGCTGAAAGAAAGCTTTAAAATGTCTAACCATATTTGTAGAATTCTCTACTTCTCTCTGTAATTTTGTCAATTTTTCTTCATGAACTCTGAAGATTTGCTATTGGATCCATTTCTGGTTGCATGTCTTTCTGTTGAATTTACCCTTTTGTTATTATGAAGCGCCTCTTTTTCTCTCTGGTAATACATATTATTTGAAAATCTTTTACTGGTAGTAAAATAACCATTTCAATCCTCTGTGCTTACTGTTTGTATGGCATTGCTTTTTTCATCAATTTTTATTTATCTGTGCCTTCATATTGAAATTGCATGTTTTGCATGCAGATGTATGTTCATTGCAGCACTTGTCACAATAGCAAAGACATGGAATCAACCTAAATGCCCATCAATGGTGAACTGGATAAAGAAAATGTGGCACATATGCACCATGGAACATTATGCAGCCATAAAAAAGAACGAGATCATGTACTTTGCAGGAACATGGATGGAGCTAGAGGCCATTATCCTTTGCTAACTAATGCAGAAAAAGAAAACCAATTGCCACATGTTCTCACTTATGAGTGGGAGCTAAATGATGAGAACATATGGACATATAGAAGGGAACAACACACACCGGGGCCTACTTGAAGGCAAAGGGTGGAAGGAGGGAGAGGATCAAGAAAAATAATGAATGGGTGCTAGACTTAATACCTGGGTGGGTACTAATAGGTACAGAAACCATATGACTGTGGGCAGCAAGCCACCCAGGTGCCGAGGCAAGAGACTGAAGGCACAAGCTCTTCCAGTATAATAAAGAAAATACTTAAAATAAAAATAGTTGTATTAGACATAAAATATAGATATGATTATGTATAAATATTACTAATCATTAGTTTATGACATTACTCTTTATTCCAATATTATAATAATCTTTGTTCTACAATTATAACCTAGAAAAAACCAGGCCATACAGAGATAGGAGCTGAAGGGACACGGTGAGAAGTGAACAGAAGACAAGTGTGAGCCCTCTGTCATGCCTGGACAGGGCCACTAGAGGGCTCCTTGGTCTGGCGGTAACGCCAGTGCCTGAGAAGGCACCATCACTTAGCAGATCGGGAAAGGGAGTCTCCCTTTGCCCGGGGGAGTTAGAGAAGCCTCTGCTCCACCACCTCTTGTGGAAGGCCCGACATCAGTCAAGCCCGCCCACAGCCATCTGGAGGCCTAAACGTCTCCCTGTGATGCTGTGCTTCAGTGGTCATGCTCCTGTTTGACTTTCATGTTCCACCCTCTACACCTGGCTCAGCCTTCTAAATAGCAGTAGCAAAATTAGTGAAAGTACTAAAGTCTTTGAAATACATAGAAGAAATAATGACATAAACTGTCCCCTCTCTCTCTCCGCCTCGGCTACCGAACAGGGAAGGGCCCCCTGTCTGGTGGACACGTGACTCACGTGACCTTACCTATCATTGGAGATGGCTCACACTCCTTACCCTGCCCCCTTGTCTTGTATCCAATAAATAACAGCGCAGCCTGGCATTCGAGGCCACTATCAGTCTCCGTGCCTTGGTGGTAGTGGTCCCCTGGGCCCAACTCTCTTTTCTTCTCTTTGTCTTGTGTCTTTATTTCCACACTCTCTCATCTCCACACACAAAGAGAAAAACCCACAGGTCCTGTAGGGCTGGAGCCTACATATGACAAACTCTCATGATACAAATTTACCTATACAAAAACCTGCACATGTACCCTGAACTAAAAATAAAAGTTAAAAAAAATAAAGTTCATGTCTTGAAAAGAGCATATGGTTGGGTTATTTTTTTTAATCCAGTCACAGAATCTCTGCCCTTAATTGGAGTGCTGATTTATATAGGTTTTTGTCATTATTGATATGATAGGTTTTAGGTCTGTCATGTTATTTGCTCAGTTTTTCTTCCTCTGTTCCTCTTTTCCTGACCAATGATTTCTCATCAGAAACCAGAGAAACAAAATAAACTAGAATAACATCTTTAAAGTTCTGGAAGAAATAAAAGGTCAACTAAGAATTCTATATCCAGTACAGATGTCCTTCAAGATAAATGCAAAATAAGGAGATATTTCAGGTAAAAGATAATTAAGAGAATTTGTCACCAGCAGATCTGTACGATAAAAATTGGTAAAGAAAGTGTCTCAGGCTAAAAGCAAATGATACCAGGTGGAAAATGAGATTATCAGAAAAGATGAAGAATGTGAGAAGTGGTAAATATTAAGTGCGAAAGGCTATCTTGCTCCCCCCCCCATTTAATCTTACTTCATATACATAGAACTGTTTAAAGGTAAAATAAGATAGCTTTCTGATGGGGCTTATAACCTATGTAGATATATTACATATAATATCTATGGCATAAAAGATGGACGTTGTATAGAGGATAAATGGTTGCAAGATTTCTATATTTATGTGAACTAGTACATTATTAACTGAAAGTGGGCTGTGAAATGTTAAGAATGAGTTAAGTTCTGAAGGAAATCAAGACACAAAAAAATTCAATAGATCAACAAATTCAGGAGATGATTTTTGAAAAAATTAATAGGATAGATAGGCTGATAGCTAGAATAATAAGGAAGAAAAGAGAGGCGATCCCAATAAGCATAATTAGAAATGACAAAACAGATGTTACCACTGACTCTGCAGAAGTAAAAATAACCATCAAAAGCTACTATGAACACCTGTATGCACACAAACTAGAAAACCTACAAGAGATCGATAAATTCTTGGAAACATACACCCTCCCAGGAAGAAATTGATTCCTTGAAAGGACCAATAATGTGCTCCAAAATTAAATCTGTAATAAATAGCCTACTAACCAAAAAAAGCCCTGAACCTGATGGATTCACAGCTGAATTCTACCAGATGGACGAAGAAGAGCTGGTACCATTCCTACTGAAACTATCCCAAAAAATTGTAAAGGAGGAACTCCTCCCCAACTCATTCTATGAGGCCAGCATCATCCTGATACCAAAACCTGGCAGAGACAAAACAAAAAAAGAAAACTTCAGGTCAATATGTTTGATGAACATTGATGTAATAATCCTCAACAAGGTACTTGCAAACCAAATCCAGCAGTCCATCAAAAAGCTAATCTCAATGATCAAGTAGGCTTCATATCCAGGATGTAAGATTGGTTCAACACGTGCAAATCAATAAATGTGATTCATCACATACATAGAACTAAAGACAGAAACCACATGATTATCTTAATAGATCCAGAAAAGCCTTTTGATAAAATTCAACATTCCTTTACGTTAAAAACGCTCAATAAACTAGGTATTGCAGGAACATACCTCAAAATAATAAGAGCCATCTATGACAAACAAACAGCCAACATCATACCAAATGGGGAAAGCATTCCCCTTGAAACCCAGCACAAGACAAAGATGCCTTCTCTCACCACTCCTATTCAACAGAGTATTGGAAGTCCTGGCCACAGCAATAAGGCAAGAGAAAGAAATAAGGGCATAGGGGAAGTCAGACTACCCCTGTTTGCAGACCCATTACCAGTGAATGTTCCCTTAAGGCTCACAGGCTCTTATATCAGCTTGTGGTGAGTGCTGCTAACTAGTCTTTAATGGATTAAAATGTATAATGTGTTTCACTTGTGTATTAGTATGTTTTCACACTGCTGGTAAAGACATACCTGAGACTGGGCAATTTACAAAAGAAAGAGGTTTAATGGACTTAATGGTTCCACATGGCTGGGGAGGCCTCACAATCACGGTGGAAGGCAAGGAGGAGCAAGTCACATCTTGTGTGGATGGCAGCAGGCAAGAAGAGAGAGCTCGTGCAGGAAAACTCCCATTTTTTTAAAACCATTAGATCTCATGAGACTCATTCACTATCACAAGAACAGTGCAGGAAAGACCCATCCAAAAATTCAATCACCTCCCACTAGGTTCCTCCCATGACAGGTGGGAATTGTGGGAGTTACAACTGAAGACGTGATTTGGGTGGGGACACAGCCAAACCATATCAACTTGTAAATTACTACAAAACTGTCAACACTTAGCCACTTCTGCTTCCTCAGGAAGGTCGGGGCAGCAGATCTGTGTGTTAAATATCTATGTCAAGTTATTTCCAGGAAGAAGTTTCATCTGTGGTTTCTTCTTCCCCAGGTCCCACAGTCTTCATTACAACCTCACGGTGCTGTCCCAGGATGGATTTGTATAGTCAGGGTTTCTCGCTGAGGGACATCTGGATGGTCAGCCGTTCCTGCTCTATGACAGACAGAAAGGCAGGGCAGGGGCCCTGTGGACAGTTGGCAGAAGCAGTCCGGGGAGCTGAGACCTGGGACACAGAGACCGAGGACTTGACAGAGAATGGGCAGGACCTCAGGAGGACCCTGACTCATATCAAGGGCCAGAAAGGAGGTGAGAGTCGGCAGGGGCAAGAGTAATGGCAGAGGCCTTCTCCAGGAGAGTTGGAGGCAGAGAGCAGGGACCTGTCTCTTCCCACTGGATCTGGCTGAGGGTGGGCTGAGAAATAGGGGTCAGTGCGGCTCAGCAGGGAGGTGAGCCGGCACTCAGCCCACACAGGGAGACATGGAGGAGGGCCAGGGAGGGGTCCCAGCTGGGCTGAGTTCCTCACTTGGGTGGGAAGGTGAGGGGTTCAGGAATGAACTGCTGGGTGGGGGCAGGCTTGCATTCCCTCCAGGAGATTAGGGTCTGTGAGATCCATGAAGACAGCAGCACCAGAGGCTCCCGGCATTTCTACTATGATGGGGAGCTCTTCCTCCCCCAAAACCTGGAGACTCAGGAATGGACAGTGCCCCAGTCCTCCAGAGCTCAGACCTTAGCTATGAATATCAGAAATTTCTGGGATGAAGATGCCACACAGGCCAAGACACTTTCACCCTGTGATGGCAGACCGTCTGCAGAAACTACAGTAACATCTCGAATCCTAGGAGGGCATCAGGAGAACAGGTACCGACCCTGGGCAGGGGCTTTCCTCTCCCCCATTTCACTAGAGTCACTCCCCTGCCAGCTCTGTCCTGGGAAACCCTCTCTGTGCTATGGATGCAGGCGTTTCCTGTTGGCGTACTGTGTCCTGACTTTCCTCTCTTGTTAGAGCCACTGGATAAAGACAGTGGGTTGGGGACTGAACCATCCAGTGTTGTAATCTGGGAAAGCAATGCTCCACTCCCAACAGAATCCTCACCCTGGGGTGGGTGTTAGGCAGGAGAGGAAGCCCTCAGGGCTAGGGCTGCCCCCTCTGCCTCCCAGCCTGCCCATCCCAGAGAGTTCCCTCCTGGCCTCATGACCCAGGAGTCCAACCCTGACATCCCTCCCCTTCAGCATCAATGCGGGGATCTCAGAGCCTGAGGCCATAGTCTGAGGCCCATCCTCCTGCCAGCCCAAAGGAATTGGGCCCCAGGGTAAGGACAGACTTGCAAAAGGTCCGGGGTCCATGAGGGCTTCAGCCAGAGTAAGAACACTGGAGAGGAGCAGCCCTGTTCCCTGAGTCTCCCTTAGAGGGAGCGGGGCTTGGCCATGTGCCTCACTGGCTCTGCCCTTTCCTATCCAGTGCCTACCATGGTGAATGCCAGGCCTCAGAGAACAAAGTCACCCCCACATGCTGGGCTTCCGGCTTCTATCCCCAGAATATCTCTCTGGCCTGTTGTCAGGTTGGGGCATTTTCTGAGCCAGGATGCCCATCGGTCTGTGGGTGTCCTGCCCAATGGGAATGGGACCTACCAGACCTGGGTGGCCACTAAGATTCCCCAAGAAGAGGAGCAGAGGGCTACCTGCTATGTGGGACACAGCAGGAATCACAGCACTTACCCTGGTGTCCTCTGGTGAGCCTGGGGTGACCCTCAAGTGTTCTGACCTAGAAAGGGTCAGGCCAAGGTGGGCACAGCAGAGATAACTGGAACTCTGAGTGCCCAGTGTGCAACAAGGCCCTTTTTTTCAGGGAAAGCCCTGATGCTTCAGAGTCTATGGCAACCATTCCGTATGTTGCGGCTGCTGCTTTTTTTGTTATCATTATTATTATTCTCTGTGTCCTTTGGTGCAAGAAGAAAATATCAGCTGCAGAGGACCCAGGTGAAAAAAGGGGGCAGTGGCTGGAGATGGGAGGGACCCTGTCTGGGCAGTAGGGTCCCCTCATAGCTCCTGCACAGACAGGCATGTAGATGACAAGGCTTTGGAACAGGGTTTGGAAGTTGGGGTATTTGGGAGGGGAATAGGAGCTACAATTTCATCTAGACCCCTAAGTCCTGCCCAAGCCAGGGCCGGGCCAAGGCCCTCGAATGTCCATCTGTGGCCTCCTCTTGCTGCAGGTGAGGAGTGGGCAGCAAGGAGGGCCGTGGCACCTGCTCTGTCCTCATCCCCATCCCTCTGTCTCTCAGGCTCACCAGCGTGCATCAGGGTGGGGTGAGCTGGGAATCATGTGCTGATTGCTGAGGGCCTGGATGATGATGGCTTCAGAGGGGGCAAATAGTAAAGACGGCTATGATCTGGGGAGGGCTAGAAACTGGAGAGGAATATGAGGAGAGGTGGTGCCTCTAGTCCCTTCCTCTCTGCATCCCCCTCCCCTATTTCTCCAGCCATCAGGAGGACACCAAGAAAAAGACCTATGAGGCCCAGACTGGGGGGCCTGCCTGTGCAGCCCCTTGGAGACCCCCTTGTAACAGGGAGGGTCCTGAGTGCACACAGCCATCTTTGTCCACTTTGTAGCTCCCCACGCGCCTCCTCCAGGAGCTGTCTCGGGGGTGTCGTGTCTCCTGGATCACTCGAGGCCATGCTCTTTCCAGGTTCCCACCACATGGCCCTGCACCCTGAGTTCCCTTGCAGATAATATGGATGAGTAGATATGCAGATGTCTCTGGGCCATTTGGGGAGTGGGGACCAGCCCCTTGTCAGGGAAGCTGTCATCCCTGTTTTCATCCTACTTCTAGGTGTTTCCTTGTCCAGGCCCTGAAGGACACAGTCCCTCAGGGACACAGTGCTCAGGGACCATGTTTTTTGGGCTTTGTTCTGTGCTCTGTGGCCTCACCTTGCCCTCCCTGAGCCTTTCTCAAGGTGGTCACTTTCCTGTAAATTTGGAGTAAAGGATGGTCAGGATGATTTCCCCCACAGTCAGTTGTTTGAGGGGAGAGTAAAAGAGAAAACAGGAAGTTTTGTGTTTCTGCAAAGACAGAGGCAGTGCAGGGGATAGTGAGAGGCTGGGTGTCCAGGAAACTGGAGTCTTTCTGCCATTTCCCCACTTTTTTGCACCTGGTGGTGGGGGTGGGGGTTTTTCATCCTTAAACCTAATTGCACTGTCTGTTGGCCCCTCAGTCCTGGGCAGATGGGAAGGTTCATCCCCTGCCCTGCAGCAAGAGGGCCCCGTCCAGGAGGCACCCACAGCAGGGGCAGTGCAGGTTTGTGGTCGCTCCTGCTTTCACCTGCACTGTCTCTTATAGAGGGGTTGTCACTTCTGGGTCCCCGTGGGCAGGAAAGTTTGCCTTGTAGGTCACGGGGCATTGGCCAGGGAAAGGGTGTGAAAGTCATGTGCTAATTTCTCAAAAATTCTCCTTTAAATGTTGATGTCCAATAAAGATGTTCACAATTTCCGCTGGATAATCTTAATAGGATTTCCTCTAATATTGATGTTGTAAAGCATGTACAATCAAATGAGAAGTCAAACTTGGAGCTTCCTCTCCAGGAGGGTCCATTTTGGAGATGGTGGTTGTGGCAGTGGCAATCCTGGAGTGCAGAGGGTGGGTGGAGGCAGCCTCAGGCTGAGGGGTCTCCAGAAACCCCCTGCTCCACAGGGAGAAGAAGAAGATTCCCTGTGGGCTGTGAGGGCAGTGGCCTGGGTGGAAGCCCTGCTAGGAACAGGGCAGGAAGGTCTTGCAGCCTCAGCCAGCAGCAGCCCTGGGGTGGAGGTGCATTTCCAGGGGTGAGTGGACCAGGCAGGAGCAAGGATGGCCCAAGTGCAGGTCACGGACCTGGGTGGGTGCTGAGTGTCTGGAAAGGTTGGGTGTCCTCAAGCGTGGAGGGTCCCAGGATCCAGTCAGGTGCAGACCCGGTGGCAGCCACGTGTTTTTGTGCCGAGCCCCCGGGCTTCTTGATGGGCTCTGCAGTTAGGGGCTGGCTGCTCAGGGCTCGGAGGGTGGAACGCTGAGCTGCAGGTGGAGCGGGGAGCCCAGTGTGCAGGGTGTGCCCTGTTGTGCAAGTGCCTCTGTAGGTGAGGAGGGCCTGGGGACTGAGAGGGAGAAGGACCGCGTGCGTGACCCAGCCCAGGCCTGGTAGGACACGGAGCTAGGACCAGTCCTCTCTTTGGGGAGGTTTCCCACTGTGTCTAGGCTGGTGGGGCTTGGGAGGAGGGGAGGGCCCCGGGTTCCCTCCTGGATCTGATTCTTGTCCTTTAGTCATGAGGCCCTTTCATTCCCCACATGGTGGATGGTGGGCACAGGGCAGGTATCATTGTTGAGGGAATCACAGGAGGAGACTGGTGGAGGCTGGAGAAACTAGGATGGGAGGGAGGAAAAAGTGGGGGCGTCAGTTCTTCCCTCAGAGAAAGGGTGAATCTGATTTCGGAGTGACTGAGGAGGGAGAAATCCTCAGGGAATGAAAAGCAGCACTCTGCACCCAGTGGAGCATTTACTGTTTCTCTCTTTTCTCCAGAGCACATGAGCCTACAAAGCCCAGATCAACACCTGGTTGGGACAGGAGACCACCAGGGCACCATACAGCTGGAATTTCAGTCTCTGGTGCCAGCTCCTGGGTCTGCTGGCTCCACTGGATTCAGCTCCCTACCCAGGTCTCACCAGCACTTTCCCTCTTGATGCCTCAGTTTCCTCATATATTAAATGGGGGAAACAGCACTTATTTCTTGTGGTCAGGGATTGACAACTGTTAGTTGCTATGAGGTGTTTGCAGCTGTGCCATAATATTTTGTATTATTATTTTTGTTGTTTTGTTATTATCTTATTAACTTTTATTCTTTTAATGTATTGTATGTGCAGTAATTACATGCACAAAAGCACATATGTGCCTTTAAACACATTGTATGTGCATTTATGAGTGTGTGTCCTGGTGACGGTTCCTCCTGGCAAGCCTGGGACCAGCCTTTTTGGCACCTTGAGGTCCCCTCACCCTTCTCACACTGTTATAAATTACCCCATGTCTACTATGTCTGCATAATTTTATACTGTGGATTTTTACTCTTTAAATAGACATTTCTGGCCTGTGCTTTATTTCATGCATCTGGGAAGAGTAGAATACAAGGTTCAGGGGAAAAGGAGAGGTCTGTCTCAATGCCTTGACACAGCATGAAGAAATCTCTCCCTCTTCCTACCTCTCCCTGCCAGTTCCCAGTGGTTGACAGATTCACAGCAAAACAGAAAAGGAAAGGTTGGGGGTGGGGGTGCACATCTGGGGCCAAAATTCAGGGGCTGACTCTGGGAGAACATCTGCCCTGAAGAGTTGGATCCTTCATGTGATGATGTTGAGCTGAAGTGTAATATCAGAGATGGGGGCAGAGAGGGCTTTGAGTTTCCCTGGTATTGAAGAATAGGGGTCAGACTGCTTCTGGGGTGAAGCGACTGCTGGGAACATGTGAACCAAATTGATGAAGAATAAGTGAATGGGGAATGTGGGTGAGTAAAGCAAGCATCAGCAGTCAGTTTCTGCCATCAGTTCAGGCTGATCGGGGTAGGGAGGTGGGGAGATGGATATTCCCCACCCTGTTGCTCAATCCTTCCTGACTGCTGGGTGCACCAAAATCTCAGAAATCACCACTAAAGAATTAATTCAGGTAACCAAACACCACCCACCCCTAAAAACCTTGAAATAAAAAATAATTTTTTAAAAAAGTGGCCAGGCACGGTGGCTCACGCCTGTAATCCCAGCACTTCGGGAGGCCAAGGCGGGCAGATCACGAGGTCAGGAGTTCAAGACCAGCCTGATCAACATGGTGAAACCCCATCTCTACTAAAACGACAAAAATTAGCTGGGCATGGTGGCACATGTCTGTAATCCCAGCTACTCAGGAGGCTGAGGCAGGAGAATCGCCTGAACCTGGGAGGCGGAGTTTTCAGTGAGCCGAGATCGCACCACTGCAGTCCAGCCTGGGTGACAAAGCAAGTCTCCATCTCAAAAAAAAAAAAAAAAGGAATGATATTGGATATCCTTATTTTGTCCCCAACACAGAGGAGTAGTTTTCAATATTTTTCTCATTAATTTTGACTTTAGATAGAGGTATTTCTTTTTTATAAATAACTTTATTAGCTTAAGGAAGTTCTCTTTTATTTCTGGTTTATTGAGTTTTTATAATGAATAGTTGTTGAATTTTATCAAATGATTTTCATGCATCTGTTGACATAACTGCATGTTTTTCTACCTTTTTCTATTCATGTGGTAAATTACTCTGATTTTTTAAAGTCACATTTCTCTTATAAATCCCATTCGGTCCCATTGTACATTATCCTCTCCATATATTACTTGCTTCTATTTTCTAATATTTTAGATGGAATTTTGGTGGCTGTGTTCATCAGTTCATTTAGATGGTGGATATCTTTTTTGTAATGTCATTGTCATGTTTAAGTTCTTCTCTGGGCTATGTTGCCTCATAAAATTAGTTGGAAGGTGTTTACTCTTTTTTTATTATCTAAAAGAATATATGATAGTCTGCCCTCCATGTCTGTGTGTTTCACATCTGTGAATTTAACTACCTGAGGATCGAAACTGTTGTTGCTGCTGATGTATACTATGTAGTTAGGCCTACCTACAGCAGTTACATCTGTACTGAAGATATATAGACTTTTTCTTATCATTATTTCCTAAACAATATAGTATAACAACTATTTGCGAATAATTTACATTGAATTAGGTATTAGTAATCTATAGGTGATTTAAAGTATATGGGAGGATGTGCATAGGTAATAAGCAAATACTAGACCATTTTATACATGGGACCTGAGCATTCATAGATTTTGGTATCCACAGGGGGCCTTAGATCCCATCCCAAAAGGATACCAAGAGATGACTGAATAAGACTGACTTTTTTTAAAAAAAGTTTTGGAAGAATTGACAGGGGAAAAAACGTGGGCAAAGAGTGTTTTTGGTGGGAAAGAATTTAATTAGAATCCCATTTCTTAATGGATATAGGACTACTTATATTTTCTATTCAGTTTTCTGTTGGCTTGTTCAATTGTCGTTTTCAAGAACTCATTTCATTGCACTAAATTTTAAAAGGTATTGTCAGGAAGTTGTGTCTAATATTCTCTTATTTTCATTTTAATAAAATATACGGTTTTATGTTGTTCTTTATAGTGTTCATTTCTGTTTTCTCTCTTTTTATGATTGATCTTTCTGGGGATTTTGAAATAGTTTGCCCATCTTTCCCTCTATTTTCCTTAACATATTAATCATAAATACTTTGAGAATGTTCTTGCTTGCCTGCTTCAATATCCACATCAACTCTTAGCCTGATTTTTTTTATTATACTTTAAGTTTTAGCGTACATGTGCACAACGTGCAGGTTAGTTACATATGTATGCATGTGCCATGTTGGTGTGCTGCACCCATTAACTCGTCATTTAACATTAGGTATACCTCCTAATGCTATCCCTCCCCACTTCCCCCACCCCACAACAGTCCCCGGTGTGTGATGTTCCCCTTCCTGTGTCCACGTGTTCTCATTGTTCAATTCCCACCTATGAGTGAGAACACGAGGTGTTTGGTTTTTTCTCCTTGCGATAGTTTGCTGAGAATGATGGTTTCCAGTTTCATCCATGTCCCTACAAAGGACATGAACTCATCATTTTTTATGGCTGCATAGTATGATAGACTGGATTAAGAAAATGTGGCACATATACACCATGGAATACTTAGTCTGATTTTATCTCTACTTGTTGCATTTTCTCTGCTGCTTGGCATGCCACATATTCTGGATGATGTGTTATAGAGGCTCTGGATTTTGCCATCTTCCTCCACAGACTGCTAACAATTTGATAGTTCATTAATTATAAAAGAATTACCTTTGGTAAAAATCGGACCCACTTTGATTCTGCTTAGGCTTGATTTTATTTTATTTTATTTTATTTTATTTATTTTTTTATTATACTTTAAGTTTTAGGGTACATGTGCACAATGTGCAGGTTAGTTACATAGGTATACATGTGCCATGCTCGTGTGCTGCACCCACTAACTCGTCATCTAGCATTAGGTATATCTCCCAATGCTATCCCTCCACCCTCCCCCCACTCCACAACAATCCCCAGAGTGTGATGTTCCCCTTCCTGTGTCCATGTGTTCTCATTGTTCAATTCCCACCTATGAGTGAGAATATGCGGTGTTTGGTTTTTTGTTCTTGCGTTAGTTTACTGAGAATGATGATTTCCAATTTCATCCATGTCCCTACAAAGGACATGAACTCATCACTTTTTATGGCTGCATAGTATTCCATGGTGTATATGTGCCACATTTTCTTAATCCAGTCTATCATTGTTGGACATTTGGGTTGGTTCCAAGTCTTTGCTATTGTGAATAGTGCTGCAATAAACATACGTGTACATGTGTCTATATAGCAGCATGATTTATAGCCCTTTGGGTATATACCCAGTAATGGGATGGCTGGGTCAAATGGTATTTCTAGTTCTAGATCCCTGAGGAATCGCCACACTGACTTCCACAATGGTTGAACTAGTTTACAGTCCCACCAACAGCATAAAAGTGTTCCTATTTCTCCACATCCTCTCCAGCACCTGTTGTTTCCTGACTTTTTAATGATTGCCATTCTAACTGGTGTGAGATGATATCTCATAGTGGTTTTGATTTGCATTTCTCTGATGGCCAGTGATGGTGAGCATTTTTTCATGTATTTTTTGGCTGCATAAATGTCTTCTTTTGAGAAACGTCTGTTCATGTCCTTCGCCCACTTTTTGATGGGGTGGTTTTTTTTTTCTTGTAAATTTGTTTGAGTTCATTGTAGATTCTGGATATTAGCCCTTTGTCAGATGAGTAGGTTGCGAAAATTTTCTCCCATGTTGTAGGTTGCCTGCTCACTCTGATGGTAGTTTCTTTTGCTGTGCAGAAGCTCTTTAGTTTAATTAGATCCCATTTGTCAATTTTGGCTTTTGTTGCCATTGCTTTTGGTGTTTTAGACGTGAAGTCCTTGCCCATGCCTATGTCCTGAATGTAATGCCCAGGTTTTCTTCTAGGGTTTTTATGGTTTTAGGTCTAATGTTTAAGTCTTTAATCCATCTTGAATTGATTTTTTATAAGGTGTAAGGAAAGGATCCAGTTTCAGCTTTCTACATATGGCTAGCCAGTTTTCCCAGCACCATTTATTAAATAGGGAATCCTTTCCCAAGGCTTGATTTTTAGACTTTGCTACTTTGCTATTTCAGTATGGTACTTACTCCAAGGCCACGGCCCTCACTCATAGTGCTTCACCATCCTCATGTCTCAACCCGGGTTTGGCTGGGCTAAAATTCCAATATCTCCTCACACTATGAAGCCTTTGGCATTTCTACATAGCATGCAATCCCCAAGCAGCTGTTCTCTGGTGGGCTTCTTACAGTATCACCTGGAGCATATGCAGCTTTGGAGTGCAGATTTTGGGAGTTTCTTCTCTGTAGCTCCCTCCTTCAGCACCCTACTCTTAAATCCCAGTCAAAGTGCCAAGCCTGAACTCTGATCTCTGATTCCTTTGCTACTGAGATTGATTCTCTCTGCTTGGGTTCCATTTCCCTTCATTGAATTTTGAAAAAAATCCTCTTAGAAAGAAAGCTGATGAGGATGTGAGTCTCTCTTTCAGGGACTCCATTCTCTGGAGGGTGATAATCCTGCTCTGGCTGCTGTTTTGCAGCTGCACAACTGCATTGTATGTTTTGTCTGGCTTTTATACTTGTTTACAGTGGGAGGATGAGTTTCAAATGAGCTAGTCTATCACAGTTCAAGTCAGAAGACCTCTAATCCTTCAATAGTCATTGCATTTGAAAATCTGAATAGGGTAATTTGACAATTCACAGGCAAAGTTAATATGTTATATCTTAGTGCCCAGTTGAAACCTCAATTTCATCTTTAACAAACTTATACACACAAAATACACACACACACACACACACACACCACTGTGTTATACAGTCATGCACTGCTTAATGATGTTTCTGTCAATGATCGATCACATATACGACTGTCATCCTATTAAACGGAGCTGAAAAATTCCTATCACCTAGTGACATTGTAGCCATTGTAATGTCATAACACAATGCATTAATCATGTGCTTGTGGTGATGCTGATGTAAATAAACCTACTGCACTGCCAATCCTATAAAAGTCTACCCCATACAGTTAAAAACAGCATGTAATACTTGATGATAATAAATATGTTACTGGTTTATGTATTTACTATACTTTTTATGGTGATTTTAGAGTGTGCTCTAATTATTTTTTAAGTTAAATTAAAACAGCGTCAGGCAGGTCCTTTAGGAGGTATTCCAGAAGAAGGCATTGTTATCACAGGAGATGACAGTTCCATGCTTGTTATTACCTGTGAAAACTTCCAGTGGGACAAGATGTGAAGGCTGAAGTTGGTGATATTGTTGATCCTGACCCTGTGTCAGCCTAGGCTAATGTATGTCTTTGTTTTTACCAAAAAAGATTAAAAGGTTAAAAAATTAAGTAGAAATAGTTTCTAGAATGAGAATATAAGGAAAAATATTTTTGTATAGCTGAATAATGTGCTGGTGTTTTAAGCTAAGTGCTATTACAAAATAGTTGAATTTTTTAAAAAAATTAAGGTTTATAAATATAAAAAAGTTCAAGACTTGAACTCAGCTTTGGATCAAGTGGATCTGATAGACATCTACAGAGCTTTCCACCCAAAAACAATAGAATATACATTCTTCTCATTGCTACACAGCACCTACTCTAAAATTGGCCACATAATCAAAAGTAAAACACTCCTCAGCAAATGCAAAAAGAACTGAAATCATAATAAACAGTCTCTCAGACCACAGCACAATCAAATTAGAAACCAAAAGTAAGAAATTCGCTCAAAACCATACAACTACATGGAAATTGAACAACCTGCTCCTGAATGACTGTTGGGTAAATTATTAAATTAAGGCAGAAATCAAGAAGTTATTTGAAGCTAATGAGAATGAAGAGACAATGTATCAGAATCTTTGGGACACAGCTACAGCAGTGTAAAGAGGGAAATTTATAGCACTAAATGCCTATATCAAAACACCAGAAAAATCTCAAGTTAACAATCTAGTATCACAACTAAAAGAACTAGAGAAACAAAAACAAATCCCAAAGCTAGCAGAAGACAAGAAATAACCAAGATCAGAGCTGAACTGAAGGAGAGAGAGGCACACAAAACCGTTCAAAACGTTAATGAATCTAGGAGCTGTCTTTTTGAAAGAATTAATAAAATAGACCACTATCTAGACTAATAGAGAAGAAGAGAGAGAAGAATCAAATAAACAAATCAGAAATAACAAGGGTGATATTACCACTGGCCCCACAGAAATACAAACAACAATCAGAGAATACTACGAACACCTCTATGCAAATAAACTAGAAAATCTAGAAGAAGTTGATAAATTCCTGCACACATATACCCTCCCAAGACTGAACCAGGAAGAAATTGAATCTCTTAGCAGGCCAGTAATGAGTTCTGAAGTTGAGGCAATAAATAGCCTACCAACCAAAAAAAGCCGAGGACCAGACAGATTGATAGCTGAATTCTATCAAAAGTACAAAGGAGAGCTGGTACCATTTTCACTAAAACTATTCCAAACAATTGAAAAGGAGGGACTCTTCCCTAACTCATTTTAAAAGGCCAGCATCATCCTGATACCAAAACTTGGCAGAGATATAACAAAAAAAGAAAACTTCGGGCCATGCATGATGAACATCAATGCAACAATCCTCAATAAAATTCTGGCAAACCGAATCCAGCAGCACATCAAAAAGCTTATTCATCACAATCAAGTTGGCTTCATCCCCAGGATGCAAGGTTGGTTCAACATACACAAATCAATAAATGCGATTCATAACATAAACAGAACTAAAGAAAAAACCACATGATTATCTCAATAGATGCAGAAAAGGCACTTGATAAAATTCAATATACTTTCATGTTAAAATCTCTTAATAAACTAGGTGTTGAAGGAAGAGATCTCAAAATAATAAGGGCAATATATGACAAACCCACAGCCAATATCATACTGAATGGGCAAAAGCTGGAAACATTCCCCTTGAAAACCGGCACCAGACAAGCCTCTCACCACTTATATTAGTTTCATCATCATGAGAACAGCAGTTTCTTAAGCTGATAAGGAACTTCAGCAACGTCTCAGGATACAGAATGTGCAAAAATCGCTAGCATTCCTATATACCAACAACAGGCAAGCAGAGAGCCAAATCATGAACTCCCATTCACAATTCCTACAGAAAGAATGAAATACCTAGGAATACAGCTAACAAGGGAAGTGAAGGACCTCTTCAAGGAGAACTACAAACCACTGCTCAAAGAAAAATCAGAGAGGATACAAACAAATAGGATAACATTCCATGTTCATAGATAGGAAGAATCCATATCATGAAAATGGCCATACTGCCCAAAGTGATTTGTAGATTTGATGCTATTCCCATTAAACTATCATAGACATTCTTCACAGAATTAGAAGAAAAAAAAACACTATTTTTTTTTAAGATAGAGTCTTGCTCTGTCACCCAGGCTGGAGTGCAGTGGCGTGATCTCGGCTCACTGCAACCTCCGCGTCCCCGGGTTCAAGCGATTCTCCTGCCTCAACCTCCCAAGTAGCTGGGATTGCAAATGCGCGCCACCACACCCAGCTAATTTTTGTATTTTTAGTAGAGATGGGGTTTCGCAATGTTGGCCAGGCTGGTCTTGAACTCCTGACCTCATGATCTGTCCACCTCAGCCTCCCAAAGTGCTGGGATTATAAGTGTGGGCCACTGCGCCTAGCCTGAAAAAAAAAACAAAACTATTTTTAAATTCATATGGAACCAAAAAAAGAGCCTGAATAGCCAAGACAATTCTAAGCAAAAAGAACAAAGCTGAAGCCATCACATTACCTGACTTCAAACTATACTACAATGTTACAATACTAAAACAGCATGGTACTGATACAAAAACAGATACATAGACTAATGGAACAGAATAAAGAACTGTGAAATAAGATCACACACCTACAACCATCTGATCTTTGACAAGTCTGACCAAAACAAGTAATGGGGAAAGAATTCCCTATTTAATAAATGGTGCTGGGAGAACTGGCTTGCCATATGCAGAAAATTGAAACTAGGCCCGTTCCTTAAACTATATACAAAAATTAATTCAAGATGGATTAAAGACTTAAATGTAAAACCCAAAACTATAAAAACCCTAGAAGAAAATCTATGCAATACTCTTCAGAACATAGGCATGGGCAAAGATTTCATGATGAAGACTCCAAAAGCAATTTCAACAAAAGCAAAAATTGACTAATGGAATTAATTAAACTAAAGAGCTCCTGCACAGCAAAGGAAACTATCAGCAGAGTGAATAGACAACCTGCAGAATAGGAGAAGATTTTTGCAATCTATACATCTGACAAAGGTCTAATATCCAGAGTTTACAAGGAGCTTCAGCAAATTTACAAGAAAAAAACAAACAACCCCATTAAAAAGTAGGCAAAGGACATGAGCAGACACCTCTCAAAAAAAGACATACATGCAGCCAACAAACATATGAGAAAAGTTGAACATCACTGATAATTAGAGAAATGCAAATAAAAACCACAATGAGATACCAGAGTGGCTATTAATAAGTCAAAAAACAACAGATGCTGGTGAAGTCACAGAGAAAAAGCAATGCTTTCACACTGTTGGTGGAAATGTAAATTCGTTCAACCATTGTGGAAGACAGTGTGGTGATTCCTCAAAAACCTAGAGGCAGAAATTGACCTAGCAATCTCATTACTGGATACATACCCAAAGGAATATAAATCATTCTATTATAAAGATATATACACGCATATGTTCATTGCAGCACTATTCACAATAGCAAAGACATGGAATCAACATAAATGCCCATCAATGATAGACTGGATAAAGAAAATGTGGTACATATACACCATGGAATACGATGCAGCCACATAAAGGAATAAGACCATGTCCTTTGCAGGGACATGAATGGAGTGGGAAGCCATTATCCTCAGCAAACTGACCCAGGAACAGAAAACAAAACACCATGTGTTCTCACTTATAAGTGGGAGCTGAATGATGACAACACATGGATACATGGGGGAGAACAATACACACTGGGGTCTGTTAGAGGGCATGGGGCTAGGGGAGGGAAGCATCAGGAAGAATAGCCAATGGATGTTGGCCTTAATACCTAGGTGATGGGATGATCTCTGCAGCATACCACCATGGCACACATTTACCTACGTAACAAACCTGCACATTCTGTACATGTACCCCTGAACTTAAAAAAAAGGGTGGAGAAAAAAAGATTAAAAAGTTACAGTAAGCTAAGGTTAATTTATTATTAAAGAAAGAAAATGATTTTTAAAATTAATTTAGTGTAGCCTAAATGTACAGTGTTTATAAAGTCTAAGTAGTGTACAGTAATGCCCTAGACTTCACATTCACTCGCCACTCACTGACACCCAGAGCAATTTCCAGTCCTGTAAGCTCCATTCATGGTAAGTGCTCTAGACAAATGTGCCAGTTTTTAAAAAATCTTTTAACCACACTTTTGTGGCAAAATTTTGTGGGAAAATTCAAAGTCTTTTTTCTACTGTTCTTACACCCCAACAACTATCAACACAGAAGGCTTCTGTGATGAAACGTAGGGGATTTCTCCCCCAAAACAAGCAAGCAATCGGTTCTGTTATGGACGCCAGCTGGGTATCCTCTAACTCAATTCTGACACTATCTCCCTGGAGATAATTTTAGATCCCGCAAGTTGATGGCTCAGTCCTCACGACTGTCACCCTCTCACTTCTGATGACAATCTCAAGCCCCAGATTATTTTGCCTGTGTTGCTAACTCACTGACTATAAATCAGGGTTCCCAAAACCCAGCCTCAGGTTTGATTGATTTGCTAGAATGGCTCATAGCATGCCAGGAAACACTTACATACATTAACCAGTTTATTTAAAAGGATATTTTAAAGGATAAAGAGCCACATGAAGAGATAAGAGCCACATGAAGAGATACATAGGGTGAGGTCTGAAAGGGTCTTGAGTGCAGGAGCTTCTGCCCCATGTGTTTGGGAAGTGCTACCCTCCCTGGCACATGTCTGAGTTATTGTTCACCTTCCTATAAGCCTCCCTGTGTTCAGCCATACAGAAGCTCTCTGACTCTTCCCTTTTGGGTTTTGATGGAAGCCATATTTCTTAGGCATGATTCATTACATCATGGCC